>NW_025791777.1:300000-465011 GCF_000001405.40 Homo sapiens
CCTCACTTGCAACAGGGGCTTCGGGTGGGCCTCCCGTTTCTCAAGCACCCACTATGGATGCACAGCAGGACAGACCCAAGTCCCAAGACTGCCTGGGCCTAGTGGCCCCCCTAGCATCTGCAGCAGAGGTCCCCGCTACAGCTCCCGTGTCTGGGAAGAAGCACAGACCACCAGGACCCCTGTTCTCCTCCTCAGATCCCCTTCCGGCCAACTCTTCCCACTCCCGGGACTCAGCCCAGGTCACCTCGATGATTCCTGTCCCCTTGACAGCTGCAAGCAGGGATGCCGGCATGAGAAGAACAAGGTCGGCTCCTGCAGCTGCCGCAGCAGCCCCTCCCCCCTCCACATTGAACCCCACGTCGGGGTCACTACTCAATGCAGTGGATGGAGGCCCCTCACATTTCTTGGCCTCAGCCACAGCTGCAGCACGTGTCCAGAGGTCAGAAGTGAGATATAACCAGAGATCCCAGACCTCCCGGACCAGATCGTGCCTCAAACGAAATGCCAGCTCCAGCTCCCACAGCTCTACGGAAGGCCTCCAGGAAGTAAAGCGGAGGAGGGGGCCAGCCTCATCCCACTGCCAGCTGGCCCACAGTTCCTCAAACAGAGTGAGTGAGGATGGACCTCAGGCTGTCTCTTCGGGTCACCGCTGTGAAAACAAGGCAGGTACAGCACCAGGGCAGACACTTGCCCCCAGGGGTGGCTCCCCCAGATCCCAGGCCTCTAGGCCCCACATCAACACTGCACTGCACGTTGAGGACAAGGCCATCTCGGACTGCAGACCCTCACGACCTTCCCACACTTTGTCCTCACTTGCAACAGAGGCTTCGGGTGGGCCTCCCGTTTCCAAAGCACCCACTATGGACGCACAGCAGGACAGACCCAAGTCCCAAGACTGCCTGGGCCTAGTGGCCCCCCTAGCATCTGCTGCAGAGGTCCCCTCTACAGCTCCCGTGTCTGGGAAGAAGCACAGACGACCAGGACCCCTGTTCTCCTCCTCAGATCCCCTTCCTGCCACCTCTTCCCACTCCCGGGACTCAGCCCAGGTCACCTCGCTGATTCCTGCCACCTTCACAGCTGCAAGCAGGGATGCCGGCATGAGAAGAACAAGGTCGGCTCCTGCAGCTGCCGCAGCAGCCCCTCCCCCCTCCACATTGAACAACACGTCGGGGTCACTACTCAATGCAGTGGATGGAGGCCCCTCACATTTCTTGGCCTCAGCCACAGCTGCAGCACGTGCCCAGAGGTCAGAAGTGAGATATAACCAGAGATCCCAGACCTCCCGGACCAGATCCTGCCTCAAACGAAATGCCAGCTCCAGCTCCAGCTCCCACAGCTCTACGGAAGGCCTCCAGGAACTAAAGCGGAGGAGGGGGCCAGCCTCATCCCACTGCCAGCTGGCCCACAGTTCCCCAAACACAGTGAGTGAGGACGGACCTCAGGCTGTCTCTTCGGGTCACCGCTGTGAAAACAAGGCAGGTACAGCACCAGGGCAGACACTCGCCCCCAGGGGAGGCTCCCCCAGATCCCAGGCCTCTAGGCCCCACATCAACAGTGCACTGCACGTTGAGGACAAGGCCATCTCGGACTGCAGACCCTCACGGCCTTCCCACACTTTGTCCTCACTTGCAACAGGGGCTTCGGGTGGGCCTCCCATTTCTAAAGCACCCACTATGGACGCACAGCAGGACAGACCCAAGTCCCAAGACTGCCTGGGCCTAGTGGCCCCCCTAGCATCTGCTGCAGAGGTCCCCTCTACAGCTCCCGTGTCTGGGAAGAAGCACAGACCACCAGGACCCCTGTTCTCCTCCTCAGATCCCCTTCCTGCCACCTCTTCCCACTCCCGGGACTCAGCCCAGGTCACCTCGCTGATTCCTGCCACCTTCACAGCTGCAAGCAGGGATGCCGGCATGAGAAGAACAAGGCCTGGCACCTCGGCTCCTGCAGCTGCCGCAGCAGCCCCTCCCCCCTCCACATTGAACCCCACGTCGCGGTCGCTACTCAATGCAGTGGATGGAGGCCCCGCACATTTCTTGGCCTCAGCCACAGCTGCAGCACGTGTCGAGAGGTCAGAAGTGAGATATAACCAGAGATCCCAGACCTCCCGGACCAGATCGTGCCTCAAACGAAATGCCAGCTCCAGCTCCCACAGCTCTACGGAAGGCCTCCCGCAACTAAAGCGGAGGAGGGGGCCAGCCTCATCCCACTGCCAGCTGGCCCACAGTTCCTCAGTGAGTGAGGACGGACCTCAGGCTGTCTCTTCGGGTCACCGCTGTGAAAACAAGGCAGGTACAGCACCAGGGCAGACACTCGCCCCCAGGGGTGGCTCCCCCAGATCCCAGGCCTCTAGGCCCCGCATCAACAGTGCACTGCACGTTGAGGACAAGGCCATCTCGGACTGCAGACCCTCACGGCCTTCCCACACTTTGTCCTCACTTGCAACAGGGGCTTCGGGTGGGCCTACCGTTTCTAAAGCACCCACTATGGATGCACAGCAGCACAGACCCAAGTCCCAAGACTGCCTGGGCCTACTGGCCCCCCTAGCATCTGCTGCAGAGGTCCCCTCTACAGCTCCCGTGTCTGGGAAGAAGCACAGACCACCAGGACCCCTGTTCTCCTCCTCAGATCCCCTTCCTGCCACCTCTTCCCACTCACGGGACTCAGCCCAGGTCACCTCGCTGATTCCCGCGCCCTTCACAGCTGCAAGCAGCGATGCCGGCATGAGAAGAACAAGGCCTGGCACCTCGGCTCCTGCAGCTGCAGCAGCAGCCCCTCCCCCCTCCACATTGAACCCCACGTCGGGGTCACTACTCAATGCAGTGGATGGAGGCCCCTCACATTTCTTGGCCTCAGCCACAGCTGCAGCACGTGTCCAGAGGTCAGAAGTGAGATATAACCAGAGATCCCAGACCTCCCGGACCAGATCCTGCCTCCAAGGAAATGCCAGCTCCAGCTCCCACAGCTCTACGGAAGGCCTCCCGCAACTAAAGCGGAGGAGGGGGCCAGCCTCATCCCACTGCCAGCTGGCCCACAGTTCCTCAAACACAGTGAGTGAGGACGGACCTCAGGCTGTCTCTTCGGGTCACACCCGCTGTGAGAAGAAGGCAGGTACAGCACCAGGGCAGACACTTGCCCCCAGGGGTGGCTCCCCCAGATCCCAGGCCTCTAGGCCCCGCATCAACACTGCACTGCACGTTGAGGACAAGGCCATCTCGGACTGCAGACCCTCACGGCCTTCCCACACTTTGTCCTCACTTGCAACAGGGGCTTCGGGTGGGCCTCCCGTTTCTAAAGCACCCACTATGGATGCACAGCAGGACAGACCCAAGTCCCAAGACTGCCTGGGCCTACTGGCCCCCCTAGCATCTGCTGCAGAGGTCTCCTCTACAGCTCCCGTGTCTGGGAAGAAGCACAGACCACCAGGACCCCTGTTCTCCTCCTCAGATCCCCTTCCTGCCACCTCTTCCCACTCCGGGGACTCAGCCCAGGACACCTCGCTGATTCCTGCCCCCTTCACACCTGCAAGCAGGGATGCCGGCATCAGAAGAATGTTTCGTGTTCGAAATTGTTTGAGGGGTTTGGGTTTATTTTTGTTGGTTTTTTCTTTTTTTTTTTTGCTTACGTGGGCATCCTTCAGCTTTTAATAATCTGAAAAATTCTATTTACCCATTGTCAATGTGTATAAATTAATCTCAGTCAATTTTATACAATAAAAGGTGAACTTTTATCCATCAAACAATAATTTAACAAAAAATGTACCGGAAGAAGAATGTTCATTACAAATATAGGAAACATAAATATTACCAAATATTGGCAAGCACTAAAATGTTCAGAAATATAAGTCTATTACAGTTATAGCTCTCTCAAGCAAAAAAACAGCAGAGAAAAACTTAGTTTTCCTGAGGGGCTATTTATTTACTTAGGGATTTGTTAAAAGGTCAAATGGGGTCACACAGAATACTAAGAAGAGCTGTTCACCCAGGCCTCACTAAGAACTCTTCTTCATGCAGTAGCTATATAGTAATATGACAACTGCTCCTACGACCCAAAGAGGAACTACAGCAACTACTCTTTAGCATCTGTTGCTCCCAACTCTGCTTTGCAATTATATGACTCAAGCATTCTGGCTCCGTTAACTATTACTGCTGTTACTCCCAAGTAAATTCCCTCTAAAAAATAAAAATTTTTAAAGCTGTAATTTAAGCTCTCTGCTGCCTCATGACTTCAATTCCATCAGAGTTACGCATTGTTTCCTCTGTACATCTTTGCTCTGCTTCCATTGCTAATTCCCTAGTAAAGTGTTGTATATTCAAAGTTCCAAAGAAACAGAATATCCAAGACATCACCAATCATCCAAAACACAGTGTAGGAGGCCACAGTTAAGAGAAGCAAGACCATTAGCTCTTTTTATAGGCTCGAGAACAACAGGATGCTTTGGTCCTGTATCAGCAGGACGCTTTTTGGGTAGATCCTACTGCCACCCTACTATCGGGTAGATCCTACTGTCACCCTAGCTATGGGCACATGTCAGAGTCCCATGTAATAAAGGAGACAAAAGGAAACCACCACGAGTATAAACTAAGAAAAGTACTCCAAGGTTTCTAAGAATGGAGCTGTATAACTCACTTTGCCCCGTTTGTTACTTCTCCACGGTACTTACCACCACCTATTACATATATTTTGTTTATAGTCAGTCTTCCCCCATTAGAATGAAAGTTCCGTGAGGATAGGACTATACAGTCAGCCCTCAGTATCCATGGGGGACTGGTTTCAGGATCTCCTGAGGGTAACAAAGGATACTCAAGTCCCTGATATAAAATGACATAGTATTTGCACATCACCTTTGCACATCCTCCCATATACTTCATATCAACTCTAGATCACTCATAATATCCAATGTAAATGTCATGCAAATAGTTATTGTACTATATTGTGTAAGGAATAAGGACAAGAAAAAAGTCTGTACATATTCAGTACAGACGCAATTTTTTTTTCCAATATTTCCAATCCTTGGTTGCCTTAACGGATGTAGAACCCAGGAATAAGTTCTGGTGTCCTATTGCATAGTAGGATGAGTATAGTTAACAATAACATATTATATATTTGAAAATAGCCAGAAGAGTAGATTTTGAATTTTCTCCCTACAGAAAAATCATTATGCAAATTACCCTGATTTGATCATTACACATTGAGTACATGTATTAAAACATCACATTCTACCCCATATATATGTACAGTTATTATGTGTCCATAAAAATTTAATGTCAATGTGTGAAATAAAATGAAAAAATAAAAATTTTTAAAGCTGTAATTATCTCCATCTGGTAGGAATATATACAATCTGAAATAAAAAATATATTTGTAATTGTTAGGACAAAATAGATTATACATTAAGTCTGCAAATTATAAATTATAAAATTCTCACAGAACCTGAAAAATTATTGATACTGTTAAATATTTAAAAAGCTGTCCTTGGAGAGAAAGAAACCTATCAGATTTACATCAACAAGTGTAATATGTCAGCCTATTACCATCTGCTACAGACTGCATGTTTGTGTTCCCTCAAAATTCATATGATAGGCCCGGCGCGGTGGCTCATGCCTGTAATCCCAGCACTTTGGGAGGCCGAGGCGGGTGGATCATGAGGTCAGGAGATCGAGATCATCCTGGCTAACATGGTAAAACCCCGTCTCTACTGAAAATACAAAAAATTAGCCGGGCGCAGTGGCGGGCGCCTTAGTCCCAGCTACTGAGGAGGCTGACGCAGGAGAACGGCGTGAACCCAGGAGGCGGAGCTTGTAGAGAGCCGAGATTGTGCCACTGCACTCCAGCCTGGGTGACAGACAGAGCGAGACTCTGTCTCAAAAAAAAAAAAAAAAAAAAAAAAAATTCATATGATAAAGCCCTAACCCCCAAGGTGAGGATACTGGGAGGCGTGGCCTTTAGGAGAGAATTAGGTTTAGATGAGGTCATGAGAATAGAGCCCCTATGGTGGCATTACTTCCTTTATAAGAAAAGACACTAGAGCTGCTTTTCTCCCTGCCATGTGAGGATACCGAGAGAAGATGGCCATTTCCAATCTAGGAAGCAGGCCCTCTTTAAGAAACATAATTTGCCAACACTTTGATCTTGCACTTCCAGTCTGCAGAACTGTGAGAAATATCTGTTTTTTTTTGTTTGTTTGTTTTTGTTTTTTTTGAGACAGAGTCTCATTCTGTCATCCAGGCTGGAGTACAGTGGTGCGATCATGGCTCACTGCAACCTCCGCCTCCCAGGTTCAAGCAATTCTCCCACCTCAGCCTCCCAAGTAGCTCAGACTACAGGCGTGCACCACCACGCCCAGCTAATTTTCGTAGAGACAAGGTTTTGCCATGCTGCCCAGGCTAGTCTCAAACTCCTGAGCTCAAGTTATCCACCTGCCTCGGCCTCCCAAAGTGTTAGGAATACAGGCATAAGCCACCACGCCTGGTCAAAATATCTACTGTTTAAGCTACCTAATTTATGGTATTCTGTTTTAGCAGCTGAAGCAGACTAAGATACCATCCTATAAGCTACAGACCAGCACTATCCAATAGAACTTTATATGACGAGGAAATGTTTTATATCTGTGCTATCCCTTATGTTAGCCACTAGCCACATGTATCCATCAAGTATTTGAAATATGGCTAGTGCAACTAAAGAACTTAATTTTTAATTTTCTTTTTTTTTTTTGAGATGGAGTCTCGCTCTGTCCCCCAGGCTGGAGTGCAGTGGCGCCATCTCGGCTCACTGCAAACTCTGCCTCCCAGGTTCACGCCATTCTCCTGCCTCAGCCTCCTGAGTAGCTGGGACTGCAGGCGCCCGCCACCACGCCCGGCTAATTTTTTGTATTTTTAATAGAGATGGGGGTTCACCGTCTTAGTAAGGATGGTCTCGATCTCCTGACCTAATGATCTGCCCGCCTCGGCCTCCCAAAGTGCTGGGATTACTGGCGTGACCCACCACGCCCGGCCAATTTTTATTTTATCTTATTTAAATAACCACATGTGGCTAGTGGCTAATGTATTGAACACTACAGCTGTAGACAATACGAAATAAATATAAAGCAGTCTCAACTTTGGAAAAACAGAAGACTCTTACTGCCTCATAATATAGATGAAAAATGAAATACTAAGATAAGTAAAACGTTCTTTAAAGAACAAAAACAAAAGAAAACCTAATGAAAGCTATAAAAGTCCATTGGATAATAATGCTACCAGTACTAAGGAAGTACAGCCCCTAAGAGTGACTTGCAGTCACAAATATAAAAATGACTATTCAACTGAACTCCTAAGGTGAAAATTTCTTATTCACCATGCTCCAAAATGGTCTGTAATATTCTTCAGAGATGGCATGGTGGGGGAGGCAAGTGGCATCTCTGCCCAGAGAGAATACACAAGCAGAAAGTTCAACACCGCTTACCTGGTGAAACCCTACAAGCGTTTCCACTCCATACGCGCTCTGAATAATGGGATTGTGATGTCTTACACCAATTCTCAAACTGGGCGGCCAGCTGCAGCTGAATCAACTCCAGGTGCCCGTAGTTGCGATACCAAGAGTAGTAGCTGTTCACACGGATCACATCCACATACAGAGCCTAGGACCAGAGCAGCAGAGCCCGTTCAGCAACCACAAGACCGCATGACTCAGTACTCACATGCTGTGGGGGCTCCTCTGACAGAGAAGGTAAGAAGGGGATGTAATCCCAGCACTCTGGGAGGCTGAGGCAGGAGGGTGGCTTGTGGCCAGGAGTTCGAGACCAGCCTGGGCAACACAGCAAGACCCCAGCTCTACAAAAAATAGTATCAAGAAAATCAGCACGGCACAGTGGCTCATGCCTGTAATCCCAGCACATTGGGAGGCCAAGGTGGGAGGATCACTTGAGCCCAGGAGTTTGAGAGCAGCCTGGGCAACGTCGTAGGACTCCATTTCTACAAAACAAAACAAAAAGCCTACAACGGGAAGAGCTGCCTCTCGGGGCTGAGAACATCCAACTGCACCAATTTAGATCCTGAAATTACCCTGCCCCACAAGCAAAAAACATGGTCACAAAGTGGCCCAAAGGAGGCAGGCCTGTGATTGCACACTGACGCTCACGACGTGTGCAGCTGGGAAGGGCTGTGAGAGGCAGAGCAGCTGCCAACACGCAGTCCTCAGCCAAAACCCAGGGCCCCCGCCACTGGAACTGACTCCTCTCCAGGCAGCACTCCCAGCACTGGGCATCCCCTCACCTTGCCCTGGAGAAGCCCTCCCACCCAAGGGGCCAATGCAGTCATTCTCGCAGATAATCTTTTTCCGCTTTGTTTGGAAGACAGAGTCTCGCTCTGTTGCCCAGGCTAGAATGGAGTGGCACAATAATGCAAGCTCTGCCTCCCACGATCAAGCGCAGGCGTGGTGGCATGTGCCTGTTATCCCAGCTACTTGGGAGGCTGAGGCAGGAGAATTGCTTGAACCTGGGAGGCGGAGGTTGCACTGAGCTGAGACTGTGCCACTGCACTCCAGCCTGGGCAACAGAGCAAGACTCTATCTTAAAAAAATAATAAAAAATAAAAAAGAATGCTAGTATCAGCCAGGCACGGTGGCTCATGCCTGTAATCCCAGCACTTTAGGAGGCTAAGGCAGGAGGATCACTTGAGCTCAAGAGTTTGAGACTGGCCTGGGCAACATAGTGAGATCCCATCTCTACAAAAACATTTAAAATTAGCCGGGCACAGTGGTGTACCCCCGGAGTCCCAGCTACTTGGAAGGCTGAGGCAAGAGGGTTGCTTAGGCCCAGGAATTCAAGGCTGCAGTGAGCTGTGATCACACCACTGCACTCCAGCCAGAGCAACAGAGTAAGACCTTGCCTTCACACACACACACAAAAAAACAAAAAACTCAGGTTCCAACCCTGGAGTTACTAAATCAGGATCTCAGAACGCAGAGATCTGGCATTTCAATAAAACTTCCCCTGGAGATTCTGATCAGCCAGGTTTGGGCCAGATGAACTCTAAGCTCACTTAAACCTTTGACATTTTATGAGTCTATTAAATCGAGTACAAAAAATGCTGAGTCCAAACCGGGCAAACAAATCCCATCTCCCTATGCCCAGCCTCCTTGGATTCAGAAAGCCACACTGCCTGGAGAGTAAGCAGAGAGAGAATTGTCATTAACCCAAAGACCATCTTTGAAAACAGACTGGCTGCGGCTGAGTGCGGTGGCACACGCCTGTAACCCCAGCCCTTTGGAAGGCCGAGGCAGGAGGATCACTTGAGCCCAGGAGTTCGAGACCAGCCTGGGCAACATGGCAAGACCCTGTCTCTATCTTTCTAAGTAAAACAAAATAAAAAGCTCAGACTGGCAGCACATGGTTCTTTCCAGCTGTTCCCATGAGCAGGCTTCAGGACAAGCCCAGGCAAAGGCAGGGAGAAATGGGGTGGGGACCCCCAGGCTCACCCCCTTGTCTGCTGCGTAGGTGGAGTTGGTCACAAAGGTCACAGGCTGGGAGGGGTCCAAGGCTTTGGTGTGAGCAATCACCATCCTGTCCACAAAAGAGAGAAGACACAGGTTCCGTCAGTCCGGGAAAGGCTCAGACACCCTCCCATCCTCTCTGTCCCATCTTCCCCTGCCAGAACACAACTGGGGGCCAGGCACGACGGCTCACGCCTGTAATCCCAGCACTTCAGGAGGCTGAGGCAGGCAGATCACTGAGGTCAGGGGTTCAAGAACAGCCTGGCCAACATGGCAAAACCCCATTTCTACTAAATATACAAAAATTAGCCAGGCTTAGTGGCACGCATCTGTAACTCCAGCTACTCGGGAGGCTGAGGCACAAGAATTGCTTGAACCCGGGAGGTGGAGGTTGCAGTGAGCCGAAATCACGCTACTGCACTCCAGCCTGGGCCACAGAGCAAGACCCTGCCCCAAAACAAACAAACAAACAAACAAACAAACAAACAAACAAAAAAAAAGAAAGAAAAGAAAAAAAAAAAAAAAAACAAAGCACAGAGCCGCTGCTTTCTTCCCTAACTTGAGATGTATTTTACATAAGGGCACGTTCCTCTAGTCCTAGACCGAGCTCTCTAACAACACTCTTTCTCCCCCACCCCTGAATCCAACTCCCCCAGAGGCGTAGCCACCCTGCCGGGTACACAGAGCTGAGGTCACTGGACTGAACACTGCCAGAAATGAGGTTCACTTCCTGAAATAGCTCTTGAACACAGGAGTGAATGGGCTGTGGATTCAGGTGGAATATTTATTAATGCATCAAGCAAACAGGTAGTGCGAGGTGGGAGGTAGGCATGAGGCTGGGTGCTAGGTGCTCAGTAATGACTCAAATCTAAGTCCACAGGTCCTGGGCAGTGGGAGTGGAGATGCATGCACAGAAAAACGGTGCAAGTGCCAGGCGAGGTGGCTCAAGCCTAGAACCCCAGCACTTTGGGAGGCTTACTTGAGACCAGGCGCTTGAGACCAGCCTGGACAACATAGCAAGACCTTGTTTCTACAACAAATTTAAAAATTAGGGCCGGGCATGGTGGCTCAAGCCTGTGAGCACTTTGGGAGGCCAAGGCAGGTGGATCACGAGCTCAAGAGTTCGAGACCAGCCTGGCCAACATGGTGAAACCCCATCTCAACAAAAAATAAAGAAGAAAACTAGCTGGGCATGGTGGCGTGAGCCTGTAATCCCAGCTACTCGGGAGGGTGAGGCAGGAGAACTGTTTGTACCCAGGAGGTAGAGGATGCAGTGAGCCAAGATCGCAACACTGCTCTCCAGCCTGGGAGACAGAGCAAGACTCTGACTCGTGGGGAAAAAAAAATATTAAAATTTAGCCTGGCAAGGCAGCGCACGTCTGTGGTCCCAGCTATTTGGGAGGCTGAGTGGGGAGGATCGCTTAAGCCCAGGAGGTCGAGATGGCAACGAGCTATGATTGCACCACTGCACTCCAGCCTGGGCAACAGAGTGAGACCCTGACTCTGAAAAACAAACAATGAAAGAAATGTTGCGAATGGAAATGACAAGTGGTGGCAGGAATTGGGCACTCTATGAGACAACAGACACATCCCCGATTGGAGAGTCAGGGACAGGCTCTTAGAAGAAATGGCCTTTATGCTGAGTCAAGTTAACCAGGAGGGATGAAGGGAAGAGGCTCCCAACAGAGGGACCAGTCCGTGCTCAGAGCTCCCAGCATCTGCCCAAGGCCTCCACAGAACAGACTGTTGTGTTTTTGTTTTGTTTTGTTTTGTTGAGATACAGAGTCTCATTCTGTAGCCCAGGCTGGAATGCAGTGGCATTATCTCAGCTCATTGCAATCTCTGCCTCCTGGTTCACCTGAGGCGATTCTCCTGCCTCAGCCTACCTGGTAGCTGGGATTACAGACGTCCACCACCATGCCCAGCTAATTTTTGTATTTTTAGTAGAGACAGGATTCACTACCTGTTGACCAGGCTGGTCTCGAACTCCTGACCTCGGGTGATCCACCCACCTCAGCCTCCCAAACTGCTGGGATTACAGGCGTGACCCACCGCATCCGGCCTAGACCGTTGTTGAAGCTGGTTTTCTTCTTCTTTCCTCAGTTCTTTTCTTTTACATCTTCCCCCCATCATTGCTCTGCCCATCCGAAGGCTGTGGCTGGCACAGGACAGAATAGAACCTCCTAGCCTCAAGTTCCAAACCCACACTCTCCAATAGCCAGGCTCTCAGATGGGAAGCTTCAAAGCCTTGTGACAGCCTGGCTGAACCTCTCCAGCCTGGGCCCTCCCTCCATTTCCTGCCCCGGAAACAGGCATCTCCTCTGGCCACCTCCCAAAGCCTGTCTGGAAGCCTCAGGCACCCGCTCCTGGAAGCCTGTACGATTCACAACAAACGGCCTGTCCACCCAGTCGTGCTGAGCACACCCCTATTCCCCCGAGCTCTGAATTGTCCTTTGCCCAGGCTAGGACAACATCTCAGAGCCTTCTGCCTGCTGCAGACTCGGCTCAGCCCAAATCACTCCATGAAATTGGGGTGTGGCATCTGCCTCAAGGAGCATTTCTACAACCTCTGCTGCCTCTACCGCAAATGAAACTGGCTCTCACCCACTGGCTCTCGGTGACGGGCACAGTGCGGAGCCCCACAGGGAGTGTGTAGAAGTCAAAGGCCCCAGTGACTTCTGTGCAGTCAGCCGCACCTACGACAGCCAAAGCGCCAGGTGTGAGCGCCCCGACAGCCTGAGCCCCATCTGGCCTGCCCTACAGCAGGAAGACCCCTCGTGCATGCACCCCAGAAGTCGCCACTGGGCCTGCAGAGAAGCAGCAATCAGAGGCTCTGCCCTTCACTGGCTGACCCTGGGACCTGCCCTTCAAAATCAGGCCTTCTCCTTGACCAGACGAGGTGGCTCATGCCTGGAATCCCTACACTTTGGGAGGCTAAGGCAGGAGGATCACCTGAGTCCAGGAGTTCAAGACCAGCCTGGGCAACCTAGTAAGACCCCAACTCTATAAAAAGGAGTTTTTTTTTTTTGAGACAGTCTCACTCTGTCACCCAGGATAGAGTGCTGCGGCATGATCTCAATTCACCGCAGCCCCTGCCTCCTGGGTTCAAGCAATTCCCCTGCCTCAGCCTCCCGAGTAGCTGGGATTACAGACGTGCACCATCATGCCCTGCAAATTTTCATATTTTAGTAGAGACGGGGTTTCACCATGTTGGCCAGGCTGGTCTCCAACTCCTGGCCTAAAGTGATCCGCCCGCGTCAGCCTCCCGAAGTGCTGGGATTACAGGTGTGAGCCACCATGCCCGGCCTACAAAAAAAATTTTTTTAATTAGCCAGGCATGGTGGCATGTGCCTGTAGTCCCAGCTACTCAGGAGGCCAAGGTAGGAGGATTGCAGCTCAAAGCTGCAGTGAGCTGTGATCAGGCCATTGCATTCCAGCCTGGGTGACAGAGTGAGACCATCACAAAAACAAACAAATAAATAAATAAATAAATAAATAAATAAATAAATAAAAAATCTGGGCCTCCCACCAAGGGTGGGAAACATCAGAAAGCTCAGAGGACCACACCTGCCCGTTCACCTGTCCTGGGCTCCTGCTGAAGCCAGGGCTACCAGATGGGGGCAAAAGACCTCCCTTACGCAAGTCCCAAACCACCATTACCTCCCACGAGTACAGGTAGGCGGGGTGTTCGTGCATCAGGTACGGCCACCAGAGGTTGGCACCCAGCACCTTCAGCTGGCCCTGGGTCCCAGCCTGGTTGTCCACGACTTTGTTTTCTGCATTCAAAAGACACACTTCCAACTTGAACTGGTTACTGCACTTGACGGAGATCTGGTAATTCACCAGCCCTGCAGGAGGCAAGAGAGACCAGGGCTTAGGGAGGGACATGACCTGGGTCACACAAACGGGAAGGCCCCACAATGACCACTCCCAGGCACTCTCATTTGCTTCTGTTGCTTTTTTTTTTTTTTTTTTTTGAGATAGAATCTCGCTCTGTCACCCAGGCTGGAGTGCAGTGGCATGATCTGGACTCACTGAAACCTCTGCCTCCCAGGTTCAAGTGATTCTCCTGCCTCAGCCTCTGGAATAGCTGGGATTACAGGCACCTGCCACCACATCCAGCTAATTTTTGTATTGTTAGTAGAGACGGGGTTTCACCACATTAGCCAGGATGGTCTTGATCTCCTGACCTCGTGATCCGCCTGCCTCGGCCTCCCAAAGTGCTGGGATTACAGGCTTGAGCCACCGTGCCCGGCCCTGAACCAATGCGCCCAGCCCGCTTTTAATTTAATTTTTTAATTTTTTTTTTTTTTTTTTTTTTTTTTTTTTTGAGATGGAGTCTCACTGTCACCCAGGCTGGAGTGTAGTGCTGCGATCCTGACTCGCTGCAACCTCCACCTCTGGAGTTCAGGTGATTCTCCTGCCTCAGCCTTCCGAGTACCTGGGAATACAGGAATGCACCACCATGCCCAGCGAATTTTTCTATTTTCAGTAGAGACGGAGTTTTGCCATGTTGGCCAGGCTGGTCTCGAACTCCTGAACTCAGGTGATCCACCCGCCTCAGTCTCCCAATAGATTACATATATTATTAATGAATTGCTTCCTTTAACACCCTATTCATTGAATTTTCCAGTAAACCACAATTACTAATTACTCCTGAAATCAGAAAAGAGGTTAAAAAGATTTTATAACAGTATCCTATGAAATCTACTACTTTCAAGTAATAGTAGTTGAATTACCAAAACCCGTCACTCAAGCCAATGACTACAATTAAGATATGAGTAACATTTCCTAGATAAATAAAGTCAATTAATTATATTTGCATCTGGGAAATAGAGAAAGTACATATAAGCCATGATTTTGAAGTCAAAAGAGAGAGAATATTTGCCAAGGAGGGGTGAGTTATAGTATGTAATTATAACATACAGAAGTTTTTTGTATGCTGGTAACTAATTTTAATTTCCTACATTTTTATGTAGATTTCTGCTATTCTTGTCCTATTTTCCTAATCATCTTTCTATATGAATGACTACATAATTCTGAGAATACCAAAAGAGACAGACACAGAACCAATCGGATTCCTTTCTTCTTGAAGCTTCTGCACAGCAAAAGAAACTATCAACAGAGTGAACAGACAACCTACAGAATGGGAGAAAATTTTTGCAACAATGCATGTGACAAAGATCTAATGTCCAACACTGATAAGGAACTTAAACAAATTTACAAGAAAAAAAAAATCTCATTAGAAAGTGGGCACAGGACATAAACAGACACTTCAAAAGAAGACACACATGCGGCCAACAAGCATATGAGAAAAAGCTCAATATCACTGATCATTAGAGAAATGCAAATCAAAACCACAATGGCATACCATCTCACACCAGTCAGTATGGTTATTATTAAGAAGTCAACGCCGGGCATGGTGGCTCACGCCTATAATCCCAGCACTTCAGGAGGCCAAGGCAGGCAGATCGCATGAGGTCAGGAGTTCCAGACCAGCCTGGACAACCTGGCGAAACCCCGTCTCTACTAAAAATACAAAAATTAGCCCAGCGTGGTGGCGGGTGCCTGTAATCCCAGCTACTCAGGATGCTGAGGCAGGAGAATCGCCTGAACCCGGGAGGCAGAGGTTGTAGTGAGCCGAGATCATACCACTGCACTCTCCAGCTTAGGTGACAGAGCGAGACTCTGTCTCAAAAAAAAAAAAAAAAATATTTGAATTTTGTTTAAATCGCTAACACATACTGGGCATTTAATAACAAAAAAAAAGGACATGAGATTGTGATCCTTATGAAGGTTTGAGAGGCATTTCACTAGGGTTCAACATACAGCAGTCTGAAACATACTGTAATAATTTAATCCAATGGCTCATCTACAGCACCTAAAAAGATTACAGCAGATTCTCATTATTCAGTGTAGTTACGGTCTAGAAAGTTCCATGAACAAATAAAAAGTTAGGTTTCAGCAAGCTACTGGTCACACTTTTGTAAGCTTACCAACACCTACTTTTGTTGTATGTGTGCTTATTTAATATATATTGTTGGCCAGGCACAGTGGCTAACGCCTGTAATCCCAGCACTTTGGGAAGCCAAGGCGGGCAGATCATTTGAGGTCTGGAGTTCGAGACCAGCCTGGCCAACGTGGTGAAACCCCGTCTCTACTAAAACTACAAAAAAAAAAAAAAAAAATTAGCCAGGCATGGTGGCGCATGCCTGTAGTCTTAGCTACTTGGGAGGCGAAGGCAGGGGAATCGCTTGAACCCAGGAGGCAGAGGTTGCAGTGAGCCAAGACTGCACCACTGCACTCCAGCCTGAGCAACAGAGTGAGACTCTATCTCAAAAAAAATAATAATAATAATTAATTAAATGAAGAATAAATAAATAATATACATTGTTCATTCATTAACATTGAACTCACAGCCAACGGCACTACAGCACTCACGCCTGAATGGAGTTTATTTAATGCATGTATTTTCTCTGTAAGACACATCACAGACTTCTTGGACTTGTGAATGCTAAGCAGCACTTCAGCACTATGCTTGGGGGTTAATTTAAATGGCAAAACAACCAACAAACAGTACAAAAACAGGAAAAGCATGGCATTAAATAGACCACAAAAAGGATACCTGACTATTGTATGAGAGCTGAAAAAGAAGGCAGAATATCATCCTGTTCAAACTCAAATTCTTTGACACTCTGCGCAAACACATGACTATGAAAGTGCTGTGAGTACTGATTTGGGGGTTACAAAAAATAGTAGGTGAGTTCACAAATACAAAAGCTGAAAACAAGGAGGATCGACTGTATTTTCGTAGACAATCTAATCTCAGAAGATTTCAGTTCAGACAAAAATCATGATAATTACTGTATTACAAAAGGGCACTAGATAGGGGGGAAAGAGTAAAAATCACAATTAAAACAAAGGTTCAAAATTCTGCAGCAATCATATCCAGTTACACTTTAATATGTTTGCGGCAGACTACATTATTGTTCCCAACTCATCACCCCTCCCTATATCTAAAACCTTTCCCCAAGACAATGCAGTTCCTCCTGCTAGAGATCAGGTATATTTATCTATACTATCAATGTTAGCCATGGACAAGGTATGTGCTTTGGCTGACTGAATGTTAGTGGACATGAGAGAAGCAATGGCTTAAAATGTACTTCCAGAACTGGAGTTTCCTTGTGATTCTATCACTGTGACAGAAACACATTCTCAGGTAGTCCACTGATCCAAGGGGGAACAAACACACAGAAAACATACCTAGACTCTATCTGCAGCTTGCAGCCTCACCAAGCCAACAACAGTCAACTCACAGATATGTTAGCAAAAATAAATGTTTTTCGTACCTTAAGTTTTATATAATTATTGACCTGCAGTTAACTGATATACAATATACATTAATCTTAAAATATCAGTATCCCATTAAAAATATTTACATTAAAAACTGAGACCACTTTCTTTCCTCCTTTTTTTTTTTTTTTTTTTTTTAAATTAAGAGACAGGGTGTCTCAATGTTGCCCAAGCTGGAGTTCAGTGGCTAGTGGCTATTCACAAGAACGATCATCGCACACTACCTCAAACTCCTGGGATCAAGCAATCCTCCTGCCTCAGCTTTCCAAGTCGCTGGGACTATAAGTGTGTACCACAGCATGTCAGCTCTCTCTCTCCTTCTTGACCTAAAGCCTAGCATAAAATTAGCTAAGTAGAATGTTTCCAAAGATGGCTGCATCAGTATCTCCCATCCCACATAATTTCTGTTTCATTTTGCCATTCACCCATAAAATGGTGGGATCTACCTCCCCTCCTTGCAAATTTGAGCTGGCCCTCTGATCCTGTCTAAGATCTGAAGCCAGATATTAAGGTACTTCATTAATTTCCATGTTTGTCCTCTATGCAACCTAGCAATCAAGCAAGAAGTCAAAACATACTGACATAGTTTGGATGGGTCCCCACCCAAATCTCACCTTGCATTGTAATAATTCCCACGTGTCAAGGGTGGGGCCGGGTGCAGATAACTGAATCATGGGGATGGTTCCCCCCATACTGTTCTCGCGGTAGTGACTAAGTCTCATGAGATCTGATGGTTTTATAAATGGGAGCTCCCCTGCACATGCTCTCTCCTGCCTGCCACTATGTGAGACATGCTTTTGCACCTCCTTGCCTTCCACCATGACTGTGAGGCCTCCCCAGCCATGCAGAACTGTGAGTCAATTCAACCTCTTTCCTTTATAAATTACCCAGTCTCAGGTATGTCTTTATTTGCAGTGTGAGAACAGACTAATACAATAAGTTGATACCAGTAGAGTGGGGTGCTGCTGTAAAGATACCCGAAAATGTGGAAGCAACTTTGGAAATGGGTAACAGGGAGAGGCTGGAACAGTTTGGAAGGCTCAGAAGAGGATAGGAAAATGTGGGAAAGTTTGGAACTTCCTAGAGACTTGTTGAATGGCTTTGACCAAAATGTTAATAGTGATATGGACAACAAGGTCCAGGCGGAGGTGGTCTCAGAGGCAGATGAGGAATTTGTTGGGAAATGGAGTAAAGTCACTCTTACTATGCAAAGACACTGCAGGCATTGTGCACCTGTATTAGAAACGGGCATAAGATAGGCGGGAAAGAGGGAAAATAAGAATTTTTTTCTAGAGTTCCCTACAGATCTGTGGAACTTTGAACTTGAGAGAGATGATTTAAGGTATCTGACACAAGAAATTTCTAAGCAGCAAAGCATTCGAGAAGAAGCAGAGCATAAAAGTTCAGAAAATTTGTAGCCTGATGATGCAACAGAAAAGAAAAATCTATTTTCTCAGGAGACTGGGTTGTAGAAATTTGCATAAGTAATGAGGAGCCAAATGTTAATCACCAAGACAATGGGGCAAATGTCTCCAGGGCATGTTAGAGACCCTCACAGCAGACCCTCCCATCGCAGGCCAGGAGGCTTAGAAGGAAAAATGGTTTTGTGGGTCCAGAACCCCCTGCTGTGTGCAGCCTAGGAACTTGGGGCCCTGCATCCCAGCTGCTCCTGCCATAGGTAAAAGGGGCCAAGGTACACCTCAGGCCATGGCTTCAGAGGGTGCAAGTTCCAAGCCTTTCAGGTTCTAGGTGGTGTTAAGCCTGCAGATGCACCGAAGTCAAGCATTAACGTTCATGAACCTCCGCCTACATTTCAGAAGATGTATGAAAATGCCTGGAAATCCAGGCAAAAGTTTGCTGTGGGGGGGAGGGGAGGGGAGGGGGGGCCCTCATGGATAACCTCTGCTAGGGCAGTGTCAAAGGGAAATATGGGGTTGGAGCTCCCACACAGAGTCCCCACTGGGGTACTGCCAAGCAGAGCTGTGAGAAAAGGGCCACCATCCTCCAGACCCCAGAATGGTAGATCCACTGACAGCTTGCACTGTGTGCCTGGAAAAGCTGCAGACACTCAATGCAGCCAGAAGGGGGGCTGTACCCTGCAAAGCCACAGGGGCGGGGCTGCCCAAGACCCTGGGAACCCACTTCTTGCATCACCTAGATGTGACACATGGAGTCAAAGGAGGTCATTTTGGAGCTTTAAGATTTGCCTGCTGGGTTTTGGACTTGCATGGGGCCTGTAGCTCTTTCGCTTTGGCCAATTTCTCCCATTTGAAACGAGTGTATCTACCCAATGCCTGTATCCCTGTGTATCTAGAAAATAACTAACTTGCTTTTGATTTTACAGGCTCATAGGTGGAAGGGACTTGCCTTGTCTCAGATGAGACTTTGGACTATGGAATTTTGAGTTAATGCTGAAATAAGAGTTTGGGGGACTTAGGGGAAGGCATGATTGCTTTTGAAATATGAGGACATGAGATTTGGGAGGGGCCGGGGAAGAATTATATGGTTTGGCTCTGTCCGCACCCAAATCTCATCTTGAATTGTAACAATTCCCATGTGTCAAGGGTGGGGCCAGGTGGAGATAACTGAATCATGGAGGCAGTTTCCCCCATGCTGTTCTCATGGTAGTGAATAAGTCTCATGAGGTCTGATGGTTTTATAAATGGATGTTCCCCTGCACATGCTCTCTCCTGCCCACCATGTCTGACTAAATTTTGTATTTTTACTAGAGACGGGCTTTCACTATGTTGGCCAGGCTGGCCTCCAACTCCTGATCTCGTGATCCGTCCACCCCGACCTCCCAAAGTGCTAGGATCATAGGCATAAGCCACCACACCCGGCCTCTTTTTTTTCTTTTTCTTTTTTTTATCTGGAGACTGAGTTTTGCACTCGTTGCCCAGGCTGGAGTGCAATGGTGCGATCTCAGCTCACTGCAGTCTCCACCTCAGCAGGAGAGCAGGAATCTTCAGTGATCCACGGGCAAATATGCAGCCATTGTGGGCACCTGTTCCTCCCGCGACCTTTGTGCCCACGTCTCTCCCTCCAGTACCTATTGCACGACCCCCCACGTCCGCCTCCTGCCATTGCCAGCAGGTGCCTTGCGCGGGTACCTGGCTGCGCTTATTCATCCATTATGGTCGCTCTGTCACTGGTGCCATTATGTGCTCACATGCCCACTCCCTCAGGTTTAGAAGTCGCGTTGCCCGGCAACAGAACAATCTGCTGGCTTAGCCTTTGGCCAAGTTGGCAGCTGGACGAGGACGCTCAGAGCCCAGCTCTTGAGAGTTCAAGTATCCGACAGTTCCCCACTGCTCCCAGGAGCGGTTACCCGGGCACTCTGTGCCCCTCATTCCTGTTTGGGCCAAGGCCGAGGACCTGCGAGTAGGGCTCAGTTGCCTGGAGCCCCTTCAGCCCATCCCCCAGTTCACTTTGCTTGTGGGATCTCCCCGTTGCTCCTGCCCCTGGACTGAGTGGCAGGCCATCCTACAAACACCCGCACACTCGACATCAGTGGTGTCAAGACAACTCTAAGAAGGTTTTCCGTGATCCTGCAAGACCTGTGTTCCATCCTGGTGATTCTGTCTTCAATTTCACTGCACAGGTACCACAGTAAGCCAGTGCTGTGTGCTCCGAGTTCCAGGGCATCCCCCAGCTCAGCCACTACACTGAGCACAAGGACTCTGTGGGGCCCAGGAGCAGGTAGTCACCCCTTTGGGGTCCACAACACCCGGCTGTCCCCAGACTTGTGTCCAGGGAAGATAGTGTTGAGGGCCCTCAAGGAGAGCGGGGCAGGGATGCCTGAGCAGGACAAGGACCCCAGAGTCCAAGAAAATCCTGATGATCAGAGAACGGTCCCCGAGGTCACCGGGGATGCACGGTCTGCATTTTGGCCCCTGCGGGACAATGGAGGCCCCTCTCCCTTTGTGCCCAGGCCCGGGCCTCTGCAGACAGACCTCCACGCCCAGAGCTCAGAAATCAGATATAACCACACATCCCAGACATCCTGGACGAGCTCGAACACCAAACGAAATGCCATCTCCAGCTCCTACAGCTCCACGGGAGGCTTGCCGGGGCTAAAGCAGAGGAGGGGGCCAGCCTCATCCCGCTGCCAGCTGACCCTCAGTTACTCAAAGACAGTGAGTGAGGACAGGCCTCAGGCTGTCTCTTCGGGTCACACACGGTGTGAAAAGGGGGCAGATACAGCACCAGGGCAGACAATCGCCCCAACGGGTGGCTCCCCCAGATCCCAGGACTCTAGGCCCCGTAGACGCAAGATTCCCCTGCTGCCACGCAGGCGAGGGGAGCCTTTGATGCTGCCACCTCCCTTAGAGCTGGGGTACCGGGTCACGGCTGAAGACCTGCACCTGGAAAAAGAGACGGCATTCCAGCGCATCAACAGTGCACTGCACGTTGAGGACAAGGCCATCCCGGACTGCAGACCCTCACGGCCTTCCCACACTTTGTCCTCACTTGCAACAGGGGCTTCGGGTGGGCCTCCCGTTTCTAAAGCACCCACTATGGATGCACAGCAGGACAGACCCAAGTCCCAAGACTGCCTGGGCCTAGTGGCCCCCCTAGCATCTGCTGCAGAGGTCCCCGCTACAGCTCCCGTGTCTGGGAAGAAGCACAGACCACCAGGACCCCTGTTCTCCTCCTCAGATCCCCTTCCTGCCAACTCTTCCCACTCCCGGGACTCAGCCCAGGTCACCTCGATGATTCCTGCCCCCTTCACAGCTGCAAGCAGGGATGCCGGCATGAGAAGAACAAGGTCGGCTCCTGCAGCTGCCGCAGCAGCCCCTCCCCCCTCCACATTGAACCCCACGTCGGGGTCACTACTCAATGCAGTGGATGGAGGCCCCTCACATTTCTTGGCCTCAGCCACAGCTGCAGCACGTGCCCAGAGGTCAGAAGTGAGATATAACCAGAGATCCCAGACCTCCCGGACCAGATCCTGCCTCAAACGAAATGCCAGCTCCAGCTCCCACAGCTCTACGGAAGGCCTCCAGGAAGTAAAGCGGAGGAGGGGGCCAGCCTCATCCCACTGCCAGCTGGCCCACAGTTCCTCAAACACAGTGACTGAGGACGGACCTCAGGCTGTCTCTTCGGGTCACCGCTGTGAAAACAAGGCAGGTACAGCACCAGGGCAGACACTTGCCCCCAGGGGTGGCTCCCCCAGATCCCAGGCCTCTAGGCCCCACATCAACACTGCACTGCACGTTGAGGACAAGGCCATCTCGGACTGCAGACCCTCACGGCCTTCCCACACTTTGTCCTCACTTGCAACAGGGGCTTCGGGTGGGCCTCCCGTTTCTAAAGCACCCACTATGGATGCACAGCAGGACAGACCCAAGTCCCAAGACTGCCTGGGCCTAGTGGCCCCCCTAGCATCTGCAGCAGAGGTCCCCGCTACAGCTCCCGTGTCTGGGAAGAAGCACAGACCACCAGGACCCCTGTTCTCCTCCTCAGATCCCCTTCCTGCCACCTCTTACCACTCCCGGGACACAGCACAGGTCACCTCGCTGATTCCTGCCACCTTCACAGCTGCAAGCAGGGATGCCGGCATGAGAAGAACAAGGTCGGCTCCTGCAGCTGCCACAGCAGCCCCTCCCCCCTCCACATTGAACAACACGTCGGGGTCACTACTCAATGCAGTGGATGGAGGCCCCTCACATTTCTTGGCCTCAGCCACAGCTGCAGCACGTGCCCAGAGGTCAGAAGTGAGATATAACCAGAGATCCCAGACCTCCCGGACCAGATCCTGCCTCAAACGAAATGCCAGCTCCAGCTCCAGCTCCCACAGCTCTACGGAAGGCCTCCAGGAACTAAAGCGGAGGAGGGGGCCAGCCTCATCCCACTGCCAGCTGGCCCACAGTTCCTCAAACACAGTGAGTGAGGACGGACCTCAGGCTGTCTCTTCGGGTCACCGCTGTGAAAACAAGGCAGGTACAGCACCAGGGCAGACACTCGCCCCCAGGGGAGGCTCCCCCAGATCCCAGGCCTCTAGGCCCCACATCAACAGTGCACTGTACGTTGAGGACAAGGCCATCTCGAACTGCAGACCCTCACGGCCTTCCCACACTTTGTCCTCACTTGCAACAGGGGCTTCGGGTGGGCCTCCCGTTTCTAAAGCACCCACTATGGACGCACAGCAGGACAGACCCAAGTCCCAAGACTGCCTGGGCCTAGTGGCCCCCCTAGCATCTGCTGCAGAGGTCCCCTCTACAGCTCCCGTGTCTGGGAAGAAGCACAGACCACCAGGACCCCTGTTCTCCTCCTCAGATCCCCTTCCTGCCACCTCTTCCCACTCCCGGGACTCAGCCCAGGTCACCTCGCTGATTCCTGCCACCTTCACAGCTGCAAGCAGGGATGCCGGCATGAGAAGAACAAGGCCTGGCACCTCGGCTCCTGCAGCTGCCGCAGCAGCCCTTCCCCCCTCCACATTGAACCCCACGTCGGGGTCGCTACTCAATGCAGTGGATGGAGGCCCCTCACATTTCTTGGCCTCAGCCACAGCTGCAGCACGTGCCCAGAGGTCAGAAGTGAGATATAACCAGAGATCCCAGACCTCCCGGACCAGATCCTGCCTCAAACGAAATGCCAGCTCCAGCTCCCACAGCTCTATGGAAGGCCTCCGGGAAGTAAAGCGGAGGAGGGGGCCAGCCTCATCCCACTGCCAGCTGGCCCACAGTTCCTCAAACACAGTGAGTGAGGACGGACCTCAGGCTGTCTCTTCGGGTCACCGCTGTGAAAACAAGGCAGGTACAGCACCAGGGCAGACACTCGCCCCCAGGGGTGGCTCCCCCAGATCCCAGGCCTCTAGGCCCCGCATCAACAGTGCACTGCACGTTGAGGACAAGGCCATCTCGGACTGCAGACCCTCACGGCCTTCCCACACTTTGTCCTCACTTGCAACAGGGGCTTCGGGTGGGCCTCCCGTTTCTAAAGCACCCACTATGGATGCACAGCAGGACAGACCCAAGTCCCAAGACTGCCTGGGCCTACTGGCCCCCCTAGCATCTGCTGCAGAGGTCTCCTCTACAGCTCCCGTGTCTGGGAAGAAGCACAGACCACCAGGACCCCTGTTCTCCTCCTCAGATCCCCTTCCTGCCACCTCTTCCCACTCCGGGGACTCAGCCCAGGACACCTCGCTGATTCCTGCCCCCTTCACACCTGCAAGCAGGGATGCCGGCATCAGAAGAATGTTTCGTGTTCGAAATTGTTTGAGGGGTTTGGGTTTATTTTTGTTGGTTTTTTCTTTTTTTTTTTTTGCTTACGTGGGCATCCTTCAGCTTTTAATAATCTGAAAAATTCTATTTACCCATTGTCAATGTGTATAAATTAATCTCAGTCAATTTTATACAATAAAAGGTGAACTTTTATCCATCAAACAATAATTTAACAAAAAATGTACCAGAAGAAGAATGTTCATTACAAATATAGGAAACATAAATATTACCAAATATTGGCAAGCACTAAAATGTTCAGAAATATAAGTCTATTACAGTTATAGCTCTCTCAAGCAAAAAAACAGCAGAGAAAAACTTAGTTTTCCTGAGGGGCTATTTATTTACTTAGGGATTTGTTAAAAGGTCAAATGGGGTCACACAGAATACTAAGAAGAGCTGTTCACCCAGGCCTCACTAAGAACTCTTCTTCATGCAGTAGCTATATAGTAATATGACAACTGCTCCTACGACCCAAAGAGGAACTACAGCAACTACTCTTTAGCATCTGTTGCTCCCAACTCTGCTTTGCAATTATATGACTCAAGCATTCTGGCTCCGTTAACTATTACTGCTGTTACTCCCAAGTAAATTCCCTCTAAAAAATAAAAATTTTTAAAGCTGTAATTTAAGCTCTCTGCTGCCTCATGACTTCAATTCCATCAGAGTTACGCATTGTTTCCTCTGTACATCTTTGCTCTGCTTCCATTGCTAATTCCCTAGTAAAGTGTTGTATATTCAAAGTTCCAAAGAAACAGAATATCCAAGACATCACCAATCATCCAAAACACAGTGTAGGAGGCCACAGTTAAGAGAAGCAAGACCATTAGCTCTTTTTATAGGCTCGAGAACAACAGGATGCTTTGGTCCTGTATCAGCAGGACGCTTTTTGGGTAGATCCTACTGCCACCCTACTATCGGGTAGATCCTACTGTCACCCTAGCTATGGGCACATGTCAGAGTCCCATGTAATAAAGGAGACAAAAGGAAACCACCACGAGTATAAACTAAGAAAAGTACTCCAAGGTTTCTAAGAATGGAGCTGTATAACTCACTTTGCCCCATTTGTTACTTCTCCACGGTACTTACCACCACCTATTACATATATTTTGTTTATAGTCAGTCTTCCCCCATTAGAATGAAAGTTCCGTGAGGATAGGACTATACAGTCAGCCCTCAGTATCCATGGGGGACTGGTTTCAGGATCTCCTGAGGGTAACAAAGGATACTCAAGTCCCTGATATAAAATGACATAGTATTTGCACATCACCTTTGCACATCCTCCCATATACTTCATATCAACTCTAGATCACTCATAATATCCGATGTAAATGTCATGCAAATAGTTATTGTACTATATTGTGTAAGGAATAAGGACAAGAAAAAAGTCTGTACATGTTCAGTACAGACGCAATTTTTTTTTCCAATATTTCCAATCCTTGGTTGCCTTAACGGATGTAGAACCCAGGAATAAGTTCTGGTGTCCTATTGCATAGTAGGATGAGTATAGTTAACAATAACATATTATATATTTGAAAATAGCCAGAAGAGTAGATTTTGAATTTTCTCCCTACAGAAAAATCATTATGCAAATTACCCTGATTTGATCATTACACATTGAGTACATGTATTAAAACATCACATTCTACCCCATATATATGTACAGTTATTATGTGTCCATAAAAATTTAATGTCAATGTGTGAAATAAAATGAAAAAATAAAAATTTTTAAAGCTGTAATTATCTCCATCTGGTAGGAATATATACAATCTGAAATAAAAAATATATTTGTAATTGTTAGGACAAAATAGATTATACGTTAAGTCTGCAAATTATAAATTATAAAATTCTCACAGAACCTGAAAAATTATTGATACTGTTAAATATTTAAAAAGCTGTCCTTGGAGAGAAAGAAACCTATCAGATTTACATCAACAAGTGTAATATGTCAGCCTATTACCATCTGCTACAGACTGCATGTTTGTGTTCCCTCAAAATTCATATGATAGGCCGGGCGCGGTGGCTCATGCCTGTAATCCCAGCACTTTGGGAGGCCGAGGCGGGTGGATCATGAGGTCAGGAGATCGAGATCATCCTGGCTAACATGGTAAAACCCCGTCTCTACTGAAAATACAAAAAATTAGCCGGGCGCAGTGGCGGGCGCCTTAGTCCCAGCTACTGAGGAGGCTGACGCAGGAGAACGGCGTGAACCCAGGAGGCGGAGCTTGTAGAGAGCCGAGATTGTGCCACTGCACTCCAGCCTGGGTGACAGACAGAGCGAGACTCTGTCTCAAAAAAAAAAAAAAAAAAAAAAAAAAAAAAAATTCATATGATAAAGCCCTAACCCCCAAGGTGAGGATACTGGGAGGCGTGGCCTTTAGGAGAGAATTAGGTTTAGATGAGGTCATGAGAATAGAGCCCCTATGGTGGCATTACTTCCTTTATAAGAAGAGACACTAGAGCTGCTTTTCTCCCTACCATGTGAGGATACCGAGAGAAGATGGCCATTTCCAATCTAGGAAGCAGGCCCTCTTTAATAAACACAATTTGCCAACACTTTGATCTTGCACTTCCAGTCTCCAGAACTGTGAGAAATATCTGTTTTTTTGTTTGTTTGTTTTTGTTTTTTTTGAGACAGAGTCTCATTCTGTCATCCAGGCTGGAGTACAGTGGTGCGATCATGGCTCACTGCAACCTCCGCCTCCCAGGTTCAAGCAATTCTCCCACCTCAGCCTCCCAAGTAGCTCAGACTACAGGCGTGCACCACCATGCCCAGCTGATTTTCGTAGAGACAAGGTTTTGCCATGCTGCCCAGGCTAGTCTCAAACTCCTGAGCTCAAGTTATCCACCTGCCTCGGCCTCCCAAAGTGTTAGGAATACAGGCATAAGCCACCACGCCTGGTCAAAATATCTACTGTTTAAGCTACCTAATTTATGGTATTCTGTTTTAGCAGCTGAAGCAGACTAAGATACCATCCTATAAGCTACAGACCAGCACTATCCAATAGAACTTTATATGACGAGCAAATGTTTTATATCTGTGCTATCCCTTATGTTAGCCACTAGCCACATGTATCCATCAAGTATTTGAAATATGGCTAGTGCAACTAAAGAACTTAATTTTTAATTTTCTTTTTTTTTTTGAGATGGAGTCTCGCTCTGTCCCCCAGGCTGGAGTGCAGTGGCGCCATCTCGGCTCACTGCAAACTCTGCCTCCCAGGTTCACGCCATTCTCCTGCCTCAGCCTCCTGAGTAGCTGGGACTGCAGGCGCCCGCCACCACGCCCGGCTAATTTTTTGTATTTTTAATAGAGATGGGGGTTCACCGTCTTAGTAAGGATGGTCTCGATCTCCTGACCTAATGATCTGCCCGCCTCGGCCTCCCAAAGTGCTGGGATTACCGGCGTGAGCCACCACGCCCGGCCAATTTTTATTTTATCTTATTTAAATAACCACATGTGGCTAGTGGCTAATGTATTGAACACTACAGCTGTAGACAATACGAAATAAATATAAAGCAGTCTCAACTTTGGAAAAACAGAAGACTCTTACTGCCTCATAATATAGATGAAAAATGAAATACTAAGATAAGTAAAACGTTCTTTAAAGAACAAAAACAAAAGAAAACCTAATGAAAGCTATAAAAGTCCATTGGATAATAATGCTACCAGTACTAAGGAAGTACAGCCCCTAAGAGTGACTTGCAGTCACAAATATAAAAATGACTATTCAACTGAACTCCTAAGGTGAAAATTTCTTATTCACCATGCTCCAAAATGGTCTGTAATATTCTTCAGAGATGGCATGGTAAAGTACGATAAAAGGGTAATAGTAACAGTATGCTGTCACAGGTGCCATTCTCTTAAAAAAGAAATCCAAAAATAAATATAAATGGAAAGCAAATAATTAATGGAGTTTTGACGGTCAATCAATGGTAAATATTATTGGCATTAGATTTTTCTATTAATTATAGTTTACCTATGATCATGTATTTTTCCATTTAAAAATTACCCTAAAACTTAATGGCTTAAAATAACAAATATGTATGACACAATTCATAGAAGTCAGGGAAATGATGGATTTGGGTAGGTGGTTCTGACTCGAAGTCTCTCATGAGTAAAGGTTGCTGTCATGTTGTTGACCCAGGCAGCATCCCCTGAAGCCTTTAACTTGTGTTGGAAGGTCCGTGTCTTAGTTTGTTTGCACTGTCGCTACAGAATACCATAGACAGGGTAGCTTATAAACAACAGAAACGTTTCTAATGGTACCGGAGGCTGGATGGTGCAAAATCAAGGTGCTTGCAGATTTGGTGTCTGGTCAGAGCCCATTTTTTAGTTCATAGATTACTGTCCTCTAGCTCACATGGCAGAAGGGGCAAGGACGCTTTTTGGGGTCTCTTTTATAAGGGCACTAATCCCCGGCTGGGCACGGTGGCTCACATCTGTAATCCCAGTACTTTGGGAGGCTGAGGCAGGCAGATCACGAGGTCAGGAGTTCCAGACCAGCCTGGCCAGTATGGTGAAACCCCGTCTCTACTAAAAATACAAAAATTAGCCAGGTGTGGTGGTGCGTACCTGTAGTCTCAGCTACTCAGCTACTCAGGAGGCTGAGGCAGAAGAAACACTTGAACCCAGGAGGCAGACGTTGCAGTGAGCTGACATGGCACCACTGCACTCCAGCCTGGGTAACAGAGCAAAACTCTGTCTCAAAAATAAATAAATAAATAAATAAAAATAAAAATAAAAACAAAAAATAATAATCAAGGCACTAATCCCCAACATGAAGACAGACTATCATCTACCAAAAGCTCCACCTCCTACTATCATTACACTGGGGGTTAGGATTTCACAAATTCAGTGCATCATAGTCTGCTTCTAGAATGTTTAATCATTTGGCTGGATATCAGATAGGATGCCTTGGTTCTTCATGTGAGCTTTCTAGAAAAGATAGTTTGGAATTATTTGCATGGTGGCTGGGCTCGTAAAGAGTTGAAGGAGAGAAAGAGAGAGAAACACCAGTAAGGAGCAAATTAGTTCACTCAAAATTAAAACCCTAGCCTTTGTGACCTTGTCTCACAAGGTAACATTCCAATCCTGCGGTGTTTTATTTCTTAGATGGGAGTCACTCAGCTTAGCCTGCCTTCAAGGGGAGGAGTATGAAGCTCCACTTCTTAAACTGAGAAGAATCAACAAATATGTAGATATATATATATTTTTAATAGTATTACAGCTCATGAACCCATTTAAACCCATTTTAGAACTTTAAAGAAATATTTTAAAACGGAATTTTCAATTAAGCAGAAGAAATTGCCAGCTGTGGAACAGTGAACTTTATCGCTGAAATCACACACATATATACACACACACAGTGCAAACTCATACATGATCAAATCTATAATCTTATTACACAAAGTTTTGTGAGAGGAAAAATGCTTGACTTTTCAAAAGGGCTCATTTATTAAAAATAAAATGACCATTGTGTTCATTTTAGCTGCAACCTTTAAGCAATCAATGACTATATACTTGCTGTAATCATCCTTTAAAATTAGAATTATTGAAAAGCTTTATCACTGATGAATGAAAGAAAGTAATATTGATTTGTGGCCAAGAGAGATAATCTCAGGCAATAAACAGGTGCAGTCTTTGAAGGAATCATTTTATTTTATTACTTTCTGACATTATTGAAGCCAATTTTAAATAAATTCATCATGTTTTTAAATTTAATCACGTATTATTTTATCATACATTAGGTAAAGTTTCAATCTAAGTAACTCCTGGATAAAAAATGAAGTATATCAATTTACAATTACAAATACCCAAATTGTACAGGCATGCATTTTTCAATGACATTTATAAACTGTGTTTTGTTGTTTGTGCCTTGTGTTTGTTTTATTAATCAAATTAATTTATACAGATATATGTATGGAAATGAGACAGATATAACCAGTTCTCTATAAGTAAGCATTATTTAATGGAGTCTTTCCTTTCACTAATGATCATCAGGACAGCTAGGGAAGTGAGTTGAAATTTTCAGGCCATTAGGTTAATAGTTCTAGTAATTCTAGTAATGTTTCGACAGTCATAATATAAATGATACTATGTGGCTTGAATTAATGCATTTTCTTATGTAACAAATAATAAGACAATTTTTAAAAGTGGTAATTACTATTTTTAAATATGACAATTAAAAATAATGAAAGAAAAGAGGTTGTACATTGAGTAGCCATAACATTATCTTTAAACATATTTATTCTTCATTTCCTAACTTTTCCCACCTTTTGGCTAAATCGTATGTTCTTTCTCTAACCTCACTTCTGTTTTATTACTCTCTGGGAAAGATTTTTATATAAAACGTCTAAGCAATCAAACCTAACACAGGATGAATTTCTACACATTACTATACCCTCTGGTCACTATTTTTTTCTTCTCTTTATTGCCCATTTCCCTGTTCTTGAAACATTCCAATTATTTGCCTTCCATGACATTCTACTCTTACTTTTACTTTTCTGTCTCTGATTACTCATTTCCAGTTCCTTTTGTCATCTCCTTGTCTTCCTACACCTGCCAATTAAATTTGAATTTCCTCTGCATTTCATCTTATGTCTCCTTTTCTTCTGCCAAATTCTCTCCTTAGACAAATACAGTCATTCCCATGGTTTTATATCCCACTTATATTCAGGGGCTCTAGAATGTATAGCGCCAGGCCAAATCTATCTTAAGAACTTACTTTACTTAACCAATTACATCTGCATCTGCTCAGGATCATGTAACCCACATCAGCATTTGGCTCTTTTGTAGACCCATTTTTTCTTTTCCTGGAAGTCTATTTTGACACCTACTTTCTGTCACTACCCACGTTTTAGCATTTAGCCTTGTCAATTTACTCTCATCCATATGTAACTCTATCCATTTTCTTCTCTCTATTATGAACAGCAGTTTGAGCCATCATGACCAATTTTGCAGTATCCCTTCTTAAATTAGCCTCCTGTTTCGCATTGGACATTTTCACCCCCCAGCAATTCCACCGATTTCATTCTCGGAAAAATATAAATGAAGAGTTACATTTTTCAATAGCCATAATCATTAAATTTCCATGTGTAAGAAAATGTTCAGAACAGTATCAGTGCATTTATAATAAAATTTTAAAACTTGACCCACAAATCTCTACTTGTCCTTCTAGTTTTATTTCATTTGTCTCTCGTCAATCTCTACATTCTGATCACCACAATCTTTTAATTCATCTGAAAGCTAAGCTCTCTCTTAATTTACATTCTCTATACTTGCAATTTTGTCTACCTAGAAGTGTCTTCTTCCATCTTTGGATTGTTATTGCAAATCCATTGAATAGTTCTCATCTGAATTGTTTCTTCCTTGGGATGACTTATAAACACTTCATCCTACAGCCAAATCAGAAGACCAATATCAAAATCTTTCATCACATCCTAAATTTGCTTATATGTAATTATATGGCAAGAATCTCTTTGTCTTTATAATCATTATTCACTTATCTATGTTTTTTAAAAACTCTTCTAGGTGGTGATGCTAAGCTCCGTAATGTTGGGCTTGTTACCTGTCTCAACTATCTTCCACACCTACCACAGTACCTGCTACATAGATGTATTCAATATATATTTTTAGAATTAGTAAATGATGAGCAAGCGTGTACTTTTGTTCTCTTTCATTACAGTGTTAGAAATGCTATTACAGCATTAGAAAAGATAATCAGAAAGAAAATTTAATAGATCATCAGAAAAAATCCCAAGACTTTTAGGCAAATGAGCCTACAAACACAGGTGGAATGGACTTGCAATTTACCAAGAAATAGGTTTGTCATACTTAGAAACCAACTGCATAAACATGTTTTTATCTATTAATAACTTCATTTTCCAAAACGCTCTACTTTATATGAGACGATTCTTGATGGAAATACCATTTGCTTCTAGGCTCGTTGCTTAAACATAAAGTTAAAAATCTTTGTATGACACATAAAATTGTGGTGACTGCTTAACTTTGCAACTATAGTGCTCCTGAAATGCTCATTTAACCAGTCTGTGTTCCAGACCTACAGAACTTAGATGGTGCTAAAATTGCGCAAAAATTGTGTATTTCTTCTACAACTAACTTCTGATAAAAAGGGGGCAGAGAAGGTTAACTCTCTCCCCCTTTAGCTTTATTTGCTTAGTGAATTTCTACAAAACATAATTTAAGTGCTATATTTTTCCAAGGTTTTAATAAGGAAATAAAAACCGCAATAGGTATCTTAAGCAGAAAGTGCATTTCATACATATACAATAGGAAGGGCTAAAATAACTAAAGTAGCTGTGGCATGGAGGAAGGTTTTGAGTTCTTGAATTCAAAGGCACGCAATCATTTCTGCAATCCTGGGTCAAAAAGATGCTCCTGCTATTAAAACTTTAAGCCTCTTATGCCCATGAAACTGGGGATTAGGCACAAGGATATTGAATCCTACCACTTCCACTACTTCTGAACTATTGTCCCCATGATTTCACTTGCCAGAATCAACAATAGCAAGACAGGCTTTGATCTCTTCCATTTTTCTAAGTCTGATTCATATGCAAACAATCGGTAAGTGGTCTAAGCTGCATTCATAAAGCTAGCTCAAGGGAAGCTGCATTGCTTGTTTTGTTTTGTTTTAGTTTTCTAACCTCTTCAAAGAGTGGAACGAAAGTTGAGGAAACCTGTCCAACAGTCTACCACACACCTTCCATGAAAGGTTCCCCAACACCTCCAACAAAATAATGTAAACACATGCTGGAACCTGTATTACTCTCGCACCATAACACTTCCCACACTTCCCACGATACTTTTTCTCTTCATGGGAATATCCTTCCAAAACATGCTGATATCTCCTAAGCATTATTCATCTGTCGAATTTTCCCACCTATTGTAAGGTCTTCCAATTGTTAGGTTCTTAATAAATACATTTTAAATTATTAAAATTCTGAACTAATGGGTAATCAACTGTACAACCCGAATTGCTGATTTGCATACAGCTGAAGTCCCTCCTCAAAACTTCTGTAATACATGAAACTTAGGCAAATGGTTGGGTCATTACCATATATTACTTTATATTTTTATTTATCAGTATATGTGATTACAGTTATGCTTATGTTAATTGATATGTATATGTACATTGTATTATTCTGTTACATAGCACAGCATTTTGTACTCAAAAAGTGACCAATAATAATAAGCTACATACTTTGGGAAGCATTGCAGGCTAGTCGTACAGTTTTGTTTTGTTTTTTTCCCTGCAGCCTGACAACCTTTTTAGTCATTCACTAAACCTCTCTCAGCTTCAGTTTCTTCATCTGCAACATATAGCAAATAATAAAACTTAACTCAGATGGTTCTAGTGTGAAATAATACAGAGTAAATGTGCCACCAAATACAAACCAATGGCTTGATTGACATAACTCACTGCTAATTTTCTTGAAATGATTCAAAGTATTTTCCAGACAAGCACACACTGAGGGAATTCGTCACCACCAAACGAGTCCTATGAGAAATACTCAAAGGTGTCCCAAACACAAAAATGAAAGGTCAACATTCATCATCATCATCAAAACACATGAAAGTAGCAAACTCATAGGTCTTGTAAAACAGTCACACAAAGTAGGACGAGCAATCAAATAGCAACACAACAGATTTCCACCAAACCATGAAGACAAAGAGACACACAGAAAGAAAAACAAAAAACAACAACAAAATAACCCCAAGGAACTTATAAAACAAGTAGAAAACAAACAGCAATATGGCAGAAAGAAAACCTCATGTATTAACATTAACCTTGAATGTAAATGAATTAAACATTCCACTTAAAATATATAGATTGATAGATATTGGGCCAGGTGCAGTTGCTCACACCTGTAATCCCAGCACTTTGGGAGGCCGAGGTGGGTGGATCACGAGGTCAGGAGTTCGAGGCCAGGCTGGCCAACATAGTGAAACCCTATCTCCATTAAAAATACAAAAATTAGCCAGGCGTGGTGGCCGGCACCTGTAATCCCATCTACTTGGGAGGCTGAAGCAGGAGAATCGCTTGAACCTGCAAGACGGAGTTTGCAGTGAGCCAAGATTGCGCCACTGCACTCCACTCTGGATGACAGAGTGAAACTCCATCTAAAAGTAAAAAAAAAAAAAAGAAAGGTAGATTGATGGAACGAACTAAAAAATGATCCAAAAATATTATGCTTACAAGAAACATATAGACACATACAGACTGAAAAGTAAAGACACATACAGATTTAAAGTAAATGGGTGAAAAAAGATACTCCATGTAACGGAGACTAAAAGCAAGCAGGAATAGCTATACTTATATCAAGTAAAACAGAACTTAAATCTAAAACAGTATAACAATGACAAAGGAAGTCATTACATAATGATAAAGGGATCAATTCAGCAAGAGGATATAACAATTCTAAACACATATGCATCCAACACTAGACCACCAAGATTCATCAAATAAATATTACTAGACATAAAAAAGGAATAGACAGCAATACGATAATACTGGGGGACTTTACCATCTCACTCACAGCATTAAATGTTATCATCAAGACAGAAAACAAATAAACCTAAGACTTAAATTCAACCTTAGATGAAATAGACCTAACTGACATTTACAGAAAATACTACCCAGCAACTACAGAATATACATTCTTAATAAAACCGCAATTTCACCCAACAATCCCACTACTGGAGATCTACCCAAAGGAGAACAGATAATTGTATGAAAAAGGTATCTGCACCCATATGTTTATCACAGCACTATTCACAATAGCAATGTGTCCCTCAGTGGATGATTACATTAATAAATCTGGCACATATGCGCTATAGAATACTATTCAGCTATACAAAAGAATAAAATCATGTCTTTTGTAACAACATGGATGTAACTGGTCATTATTTTAAGTGAAACAAATCAGACACAGAAAGACAAATACTGCATGTTCTCACTTATAACTGGAAGCTAAATAATGTATACACATGGACATAGAATGTGGAATGATAGACAACAGAGACTTGGAAATTTCAGGAGGGTGGGAGGAGGGGATGATGAGAAATTATGTAATGAGTACAATGTACATTTTTCAGGTGATGTATATTCTAAAACCCTTACTTCAACACTATGTACTTTATGGAGGTAATAAGATTATATTTGTATCCCATAAATTTACATAAATAAAAAATTGCCTTCTGTACTTACTTTAGCCCAGTTATTGTTAGGTTCAACATTCAGCACTTTACTCAAATTTTCTATAGCTTTCTGGACCTTTTTTTGATATTTATATATAGTAGTGTGGCACAGAAGTGCTAATATTTACCAAAATAAAAGTTATATTTTTAATTAAAAATTAATTAAAAGGTTGTAGAATCTCAGGATGGAATGCAGACTGTTACAAATTTATCTAGCTCTATTATGAACCATACAAAATAACTTCAGTGAGGGACTTAAGGGAAAGGGTGCTAGTCAAAGTGATATTGAAAATGAGTGCAGTCTCTTAAGATGAAAGGCAAAAGAAACTTGTACGAAGGCACTTAATTTAGTTGATAAAGATGTTCTTCTACTAAGGGCAGGTTATCAATTCTGGTACAGCTATATACATATACTGGAAGTGAACAATTAACTAAATAGATGTCACAAAGTAAGAGTCAGGATTTTTATTGTTGGAGTGGGGGTTTAGAGATACAGGAAGGCATTGATGCTTGCGGGACTAGGTTAGAGGTAGTGACATCAGTAAGAACCCATGTTTAGCTTAATACAGACATAGATGGTGATATGGTTTACATTTTGTCCCCTCTCAAACCTCTCGTCCAATTGTAATCGCCAGTGTTGAAGGAGGGGTCTAGTGGGAGGGGATTGGATTATGGGGGCAGATTTCCTCCTTGCTGTTCTTGTGATAATGACTTAGTTCTCACACAATCTGGTTGTTTAAAAGTGTGTAGCATCTCCCCCTTAGTTCTCTTCCTCCTTCTCCAGCCATGTAAGATGTGCCTGCTTCCTCTTTGCCTTCTGCTATGACTGTACGTTTTCTGAGGCTTCCCCATCCTTGCTTCCTGTACAGCCTGTGCAACTGTGAGGCAATTAAAGCTCTTTTCTTTATAAATTACCTAGGATCAGGTAGTTCTTTATAACAATGGGATAATGGACTAATATAGATGTTTACATATAGAAATATTTAAAGATATGTGTAAGAATATACACATTGTTTCTTTGCTCTCTCATCTTAGAGAGCTATGAAAAAATTGATACTCCCTTAGCTACAGGCACAGCTAGCACTTAAATATTGATTTCATATATAGAAAGCAGGGCGTCTTTGAAAGTGGCTGATTCTAAGAATGGGGAAGAAAATACACAAGATGAGCCTGGGACATCCTCTAGTGCCAGAAATTATGAAAATACTAACAAAAATCTATTCGTGAGATATGTCAAACAAGCACAGGGGCCAAGTGAAAGGTCTTTCAATTTCTAGAATAATTTTAGCAACACAATACATTAATTGGTAGTATATTTGGATTATACCCAAAAATGTAATTTTCCTTAGTCCATATTGATATCAATAAATGACTGAATAAACAAATGAATGAGATAAAAGAGGTAAATCTCCTCTGCAAATAATTTACATATGTATTCCAACTAAAGGAAGTCAGCTCTTAAAGACATCTTAAGCAATACTGCAACTGAATTAGCTTTCCAAAGATACTGTCACAATTCATCTATTCCAAGACCTATACATTTCATATTTTAATATCTCCTGAAAATATAATGCATTTTACAATTCAGTGGTATGTCTTAGTTTAATTAGCCACAATGCGAATTACTTGCTTAACGGGACATAAAATAGTGCATTATACAATCTATGGGCTCTTGGACTCAAGAAAATACGATAGAAAGGAGTTTATGTTAGAGTCTGCACACTGACTAAAGATCAGAGCAGAAAGCAGATTCTAGGAACAGTCACATTTGTGGCAGTCACTGGTCTCGGCATGCAACAAAATTCAAAGTAAATAGTGGTAAGGTGGGAAATGGACAAAGCTATGTAGCTAGAATCAGAAGTCTTTGAAATCAAAACATCAAGATTCAAACTATTTAGGGGCAGTGGGGCTGACGTGGTGACCGTGGGCCTGATCAGATAAAACCTTTACAAAGAAACAGTAGCTCTCAGACTCACCTCCTGAGACAGAGTTGTTCTGAGGGGAAAATGGGTAAGTTTCCACAGTAACATACAGTACTTAAACATACAGTAAGATACAGTACTTAAAGCCCTGACCTGTCCAGTTCCCAACACATCTTTCTTGATGGGCACCTAAATGTCACCTTTTGGTTTTATTTTTGTGTTTTTCTCATCTAAGCTCGGAGAGCAAAGCCTGACAGGGTGAGCCCCCAAAGTGTGTTCATGTCTTAAGAGTGTCCAGAAGCCACATAGGGAGTGTGCAAGTTTTTCATTTTCATGCCAGGGACAATGTCTCTCTTTATTGAGCTAATGGCAAGGTATGGGCCTCAGAATATGTACAGTTTGAACATATTTGCATCTTCCCTTTAATTAACTGTGAAATCTGTGAGGCTAATGAGAAGAAAATTGATGGGTAGTCGGTGGAAGAATTTTTTTTTCATTGTCATATCTTCAACTTTCCTGGGGTATAATAAGAGATGCACAGTCAATTCAGTATACTTGAAATGTGTGATGTGGTCAAATTTGAGATAGATATATATATATATATATGTATATACTTTTGGAAATATCACTACATTCACAACCATCATTATGAAAAGTTTTCTTGTGCACCTCAGTAATCAGTCTCTCCCTCCATGCTGTCTCCAGGCAGCCATTTGATTTTCCATCAGGTAACATGAGTGAGAAGAAAATGTTTGTTGCAAGCTATTGAAATTTTGTGGTTGTTCACTTTTTAGAAACTCTTTGGAATTTTCTTTCTCATATCTTTATTAACATATAAAGTGTCTGTTTGGCATACTTTCAGATAATGTAAATAATATACTCAGCAATTGTTTTGTGCTGGGCTTCCATTTAATCTTTCAAGATCATATGGATTTTTATAGCTTTATATGTTGTGTTTGGCATCTTAAGCTCACTATCTACCTACTGACTCTTAAATCCCAAACTCTAAAGAGGTTCTGAAGATTCCAAACAATGGCTTGATAGCTTAAAGTAAAAAAAGCTCAGGATAACTCAAATTTTGTGACTTAGCATGCTTGAGAAAGTTTTTTTTTTTTTTTTTTGAGACAGAGTCTCACTCAGTCACCCTGGCTGGAGTGCAGTGGCGGGATCTCGGCTTACTGCAAACTCCGCCTCCCGGGTTCACGCCATTCTCCTGCCTCAGCCTCCCGAGTAGATGGGACTAAGGCGCCCGCCACCGTGCCCGGCTAATTTTTTTTTGTATTTTTTAGTAGAGACGGGGTTTCACCGTGTTACCCACGATGGTCTCGATCACCTGACCTCGTGATCTGCCCACCTTGGCCTCCCAAAGTGCTGGGATTACAGGCGTGAGCCACCTCGCCCGGCCTTGAGAAAGTGCATTTAAGCTCCTTCCTAAATGAATGATTATTTAGTCTTGCAGTGTCCATAATTTCTTTAGGTCACTTACGGAAGTCTCAAACTTGTCTGTAACACCTGATAATAACTTCCAGTACTATTCTAAAATGTAGATTTACTTTATCACATTTTCTTCTAACTTCTACTTGCCCCTGTTGTAACAATCTTCACTCTTCTTTTGTACTTATATTTTCTCCTTTTAAAACTCAATATCTAGGTCCTCTCTTATAATTGTGCTTAAAATTCATCCTGCAGTAGTGTCAGAGCAGGGTTTCTCAAAGTCATTGTGGGGAACTATCGTGTACATTGTAAGATGATTAGCAACATCCCTAGCCTCGACCACCAGATGCCAGTAGCACACCCTCTCTTTCACAGTTTTTTTTTTTTTTTTAATCAGAAATATCTGCGCACATTGACAAATGTCCACCGGATGGGAAGAAGAATGTGGGGTGTAAAATTCCCATTTTTGAGACCCACTTGCTTAGAATGTATTAAAGACCTATAATTGAAAATACCTTGGCAAAATCTCCCAAAATTGTCTCTCAAAATAACAGTATATACAGTGTAACATACACAACATCCTGTTATACTAATGAAAAAATCTAAGAAAAACTCTATAGGATGATATTTAGATATTACAGTCACTATATTAACTATTAGGATAATGTGCCACTAATTCCCAATCGTCACTGCTTTCATGTAGTGCTTGCTCCATATTGTCTTAATGTTAATCCTTAACATACACAGCCTAACATATTTATTGATGTGAAAGTTTTTGTTTTATTTTCAACAACACGGTCTCAACCAGGGGTGATTTTCACTACCAGGGACAATTTGTCAATGTTTAGAGACAATTTTAGTTTTTACTGCTGTAGGTAGTGGAGTGTGCTATTCACATCCGGTAAGTTTAGGGCAGGAAAACTGGTAAACCTCCTATAACATGAGGCTAGAGCCCACAACAAAATTATCAGGTCCAAAAATGTCAATAGTATTGAAGGTGAGACAATTTCTAGGGAGATATTACACCTTGATATTCTCATTTAATATGCTGGTAATGTAATCCAGCATTTTTCCAAAAATGAGAATAGCCTGGTGGCCTTAAATGTCATTGTTTTACTCTTACTTACATTGGACTAAAGAATGAGATCAAATGCAGCTGAATAATTTGGATATTTAAAGCAATAACATTTTTCACTAACGCGCATAGGCTTAATGCCTGGGTGACAAAATAATCTGTATACCTATTTACCTATAGGTTTACCTATATAACAAACCTGCACATATACCCCTGAACTGAAAATAAAAGTTAATAAATAAAGTAATTACATTTGTTTAGAAATAAAATAAATTTAGAAATGGAAAATATTGTTGAAAATATTCTAAGAATTTTAAATTTATACATCAAAATAAAAATAATCTGAATATTATTACTAACAGAAAATCTTTGTCTTGATCTCAAATTCCAAGTAGAATACCTTTAGACTATCTCTAGCAATAGCTAACAGAATAAGATTTACAAATCTTGATAGATCATTTTTCATGCCTGTGTCATTTTAAAATGAATTGATGGCTGTTAAAACTTAATTTAGTTTGAGTCTCTTCCGGATCATATACATAGTTTTACAGACAGCCATGTTCAATGAAATTATAATATGTAACACAAGAAATATGCCAGATGTAAAGTAAGAATCTCTTTTAAACGCTCTGATATTCAAAACTCTTTATCAGATTTCCTAAACTAACGATTTTAAACAAAACCTGTTAGTTAAGAAAGCATTGGTCTCAATAGTAAATCTGCCAATATGAATTGCTGCATTTTATTTTTGAACTTTCTAAAGGCCATCTGCCAGAGTAATTAGATATAAAATCCTGCATGCAATCTAATATTAGATGAAAAGTTTAAACTACCAATGATACAATATTGATGCACAGAGGAATGAATTGATTTTTTATGTTATTCTCAAATTGAAAGTCAATCTTTTTATAAAATAAATTTATAAATAAATCCAAATATGATATTTTAGCTCACTTTTGACAGTAGGTTTTCAGTTTCTGATGTTAACAATGGCATAATTATGATTTGCTGAATGACTTTAAAGTGATCGGATAAGGAAACAATTAGGGTTTGCAGTAGCTGGAGAAAGAAAAAAAAGAAATATTTAGATATTGCATACTCAATATGGCACATACTACGTCATAGGCTTTAATATCAGTTGACTACTCTCTTTAGAAGGAGTACGGTTTGACCTAGACCAGTTTATTTATTCATTTTTGTAATAATTTTTCCTCATTCTCTTTGACACATTGGTTAACCTAAAATTACTGTGTTGCTTAGGACATTGACTAAAAATCGTAGTCTTTCAGTTTGTGGCTGCTCACAGGATTTTTTTTTTTTTTTTGCTTTGGCTTACTAAATAATCTTTTATTGGAGTTAAAACAACAAAGCTAGTAAAGATATATAAATCAATGCCAAAAAAAAGGAGACAGGCCTACTTATATGCCATTATCTTCTGTTATTGCCGTTGGATAGAAGACAGACATTATCATTTTTAATCAATTGTATACTTCATAAATATGATACAACAGATATTTTTACTTCCAAGATTATACATAGAGTTTTTATGATTCCTTTGTGAGTGTGAACTATATAGCTGTCCCTAAAACATAATTGAGAACAGAAAGGTTTTATTTTTAATTATATAATTTTCTTGCCCAAGTTATATGGATTCATAGGTTACAGAATGTATAACAATATACATTTTTTGCATTTTTAAATTTACTGTATAATTTATTTCTAAAACCAAATTTGATATACAACTATGTAAACCATTAAATATGATTTGGATTAAAATAATCTTAACAGACAAATCCAAAAACACTGCATTTTATTATTTCTATTTCTAATGTTACCTCCAGGTTTAGACTCCCCTAAGTAATTGACTCTACCTATTATGTTTGTGTTTTGAAACATCACTCTATATTGTAACAAAAAGAAAAATGACACAATTAGTTTCATATATGTACACAAAAATTTTCAGTTTTAAATAAGGAAATATAGTTTTGAAATTTAAAAAAGTAAATGTTATAATATTTTCTCAAATAATTTACTACTCATATTCCCATTGCTTAGTTTCATTAATTTTTACACTCACATTTTACATATCCAAGATATATTTCCAGCTTTATTTTCAGAATGAACTGCTAGGATCTTAGATGAGTTTATTATTTTGCACGAGGTGCCACTGCTTGACACCTGATTGTGTGTATACCCCCCTTTTTTTTTAATATACTTTTAAGTTTTAGGGTACATGTGCACAATGTGCAGGTTAGTTACATATGTATACATGTGCCATGCTGGTGTGCTGCACCCACTAACTCGTCATCTAGCATTAGGTATATCTCCGAGTGCTATCCCTCCCCCCTCCCCCCACCCCATAACAGTCCCCAGAGTGTGATGTTCCCCTTCCTGTGTCCATGTGTTCTCATTGTTCAATTCCCACCTATGAGTGAGAACATCCGGTGTTTGGTTTTTTGTCCTTGCGATAGTTTACTGAGAATGATGATTTCCAATTTCATCCATGTCCCTACAAAGGACATGAACTCATCATTTTTTATGGCTGCATAGTATTGCATGGTGTATATGTGCCACATTTTCTTAATCCAGTCTATCACTGTTGGACATTTGGATTGGTTCCAAGTCTTTGCTGCCCAAGGTAATTTATAGATCCAATGCCATCCCCATCAAGCTACCAATGACTTTCTTCACAGAATTGGAAATAACTACTTTAAAGTTCGTATGGAACCAAAAAAGAGCCCGCGTTGCCAAGTCAATCCTAAGCCAAAAGAACAAAGCTGGAGGCATCACGCTACCTGACTTCAAACTATACTACAAGGCTACAGTAACCAAAACAGCACGGTACTGGTACCAAAACAGAGATATAGATCAATGGGACAGAACAGAGCCCTCAGAAATAACGCCGCATATCTACAACTATCTCATCTTTGACAAACCTGAGAAAAATAAGCAATGGGGAAAGGATTCCCTATTTAATAAATGGTGCTGGGAAAACTGGCTAGCCATATGGAGAAAGCTGAAACTGGATCCCTTCCTTACACCTTATACAAAAATTAATTCAAGATGGATTAAAGACTTAAACGTTAGACCTAAAACCATAAAAACCCTAGAAGAAAACCTAGGCATTACCATTCAGGACACAGGCGTGGGCAAGGACTTCATGTCTAAAACACCAAAAGCAATGGCAACAAAAGCCAAAATTGACAAATGGGATCTAATTAAACTAAAGAGCTTCTGCACAGCAAAAGAAACTACCATCACAGTGAACAGGCAACCTACAGAATGGGAGAAAATTTTCGCAACCTACTCATCTGACAAAGGGCTAATATCCAGAATCTACAATGAACTCAAACAAATTTACAAGAAAAAAACAAACAACCCCATCAAAAAGTGGGCGAAGGACATGAACAGACACTTCGCAAAAGAAGACATTTATGCAGCCAAAAAACACATGAAAAAATGCTCACCATCACTGGCCATCAGAGAAATGCAAATCAAAACCACGATGAGATACCATCTCACACCAGTTAGAATGGCAATCATTAAAAAGCCAGGAAACAACAGGTGCTGGAGAGGATGTGGAGAAATAGGAACACTTTTATACTGTTGGTGGGACGGTAAACTAGTTCAACCATTGTCGAAGTCAGTGTGGCGATTCCTCAGGGATCTAGAACTAGAAATACCATTTGACCCAGCCATCCCATTACTGGGTATATACCCAAAGGATTATAAATCATGCTGCTATAAAGACACATGCACACGTATGTTTATTGCGGCACTATTCACAATACCCCATTCTTTAGACTTTTAAAATCAATACCCACTCTTCCCCACGAACAAGAGAAAGTAAAAACAACTAACAGTGGATTTCTATATCACAATGACTCATTTTCAATAGAACACTACCATAGGTCAAATGGATGAATGCATAAATAATGAATGGATTAATATCTTTTATATAATCATGTGCCACATAACAACGTTTACATCAATAAGAGACAGCATGTAAAACAATGGCTCATTAAGATTATAATAGGGTTGAAAAATTGCTATCACCATTATAGATTGATCACTCTATGAAGTTTGCACAGTAAGATAATCACCTAGCCACACACTTCTCAGAACATATCCTCATTGCTAAGTGACACAAGGCTATATTTCATTTAATGATTGCGTAAATAGTTGTTGAGAAAAATCTGCACTCTAAGTACCAGGATAAAAGAGATTAATAATAAATTAATGATTAAATGCACCATGATCAATCTTATCATTGAGGTCTATATGCTACATTTGGATTACATCGTAAAGGCAGAGGTTAATCATCGCAACTTACACAACAGGATACAGAGTGGATCAGCAGATAATTACATAATAGAATACAGTTTGAAACCTGCAAGATGCATTAGAATTAATTAGAATCAAACCATATGTGTGACTTTGGTTTAAATGTGCAAAACCTATTAATATAGATATAGCCAGGACATTTCTATTGTGTGTGTGTATATATATATATAGTGTGTATATATATATATATACACACACATATACATTTATATATACATACATACATATATATAATATATAATATATATATATATATATATATATATATATATATATATATATATATATATATTTTTTTTTTTTTTTTTTTTTTTTTGTGATGGAGTTTCGCTCTTGCTGCCCAGGCTGGAGTGCAATGGCATGGTTTCAGCTCACTGCAACCTCCGCTTCCAAGGTTCAAGCAATTCTCCTGCCTCAGCCTCCCAAGTGGCTGGAATTACAGGGGCCAACCACCACACCAGGCATATCTTTGTATTTTTAGTAGAAACTGCTTTCACCATGTTGGCCAGGCTGGTCTCGAACTCCTGACCTCAAGTGATCTACCCCCTCGGCCTCCCAAAGTGCTGGGATTACAGGTGTGAGTCACTGTACCCAGTTTGTCTTTATAAATCTTATAGAAATATTTAACTTTTAAAATCAACCACACACAATTAAGACTTTGATAAAAGTAATTAAGAAGTAAAGCAATGGAAAAAGCAATTTTTAAAAACATATATGAATGATTGAAAGCCAGGAGTAAAATTAAGAATTGTATTAAAATATCACTATTAAAATTAGCTACATAAATATTTAATTAATGCAGCTAAATTGTTAACAAAATTTACAGAAGAAAAGTATGTTAACATTACTGAATCATCTTAAAATCTTATTAAAATTTAAAGTTCTTCTCAACTGAAATTATATCACAGAAAAAAATAATGTCACCTTAAAAAGTTTAGGATTAGAAATACATAATTATTTTTAAATATAGTCTTTATATATTAATTATATTTCATTAATGTCTTATTTCTTGAATAAACTTTTTTCATGATACTATTTAAGTGCCACATTCTACAATAATATGGAAAACAATTCTACAAAATGTGGCATACAGTAATTGATAGGTAGTATAGCACACCTTTTATCTTTATAGCAAAAACATAATGTGTAAATTAATATAACACTAAGTCCCATATTGTCATTTTTTGTCAAAGAGCTATCTCCTTGAAAACCATCATCCTCAGATGCATCTCTAACTTCAAAAAGACCTTAGAAACTGTAACAATTGTAAATGCGTTATAACTTAAAGAGATATTATCTTCACATTAGAGGCTAACAGGCTTATACCTACTGATAGCTGACAAGTATTATAGGAATCCTGGCAGGCAAATTGTTGCATAAAAATTATGTAATTTACTAACTGTAAAATAACCTTTAGAGTTTAGAATCAGTCAGATAAGTAGAACAGACAATTGTTATCAAAGCCATATAAATGGCTATTAAAATTATTTTTTGCTACCCTCATTTTATCTCTGAAGAGACATCTTGTTAAAAAATGAATAACAGACACATATAAATACCTAATTACAAGCAGAGTTAAGATTAAAATTCAGCCTCATTAGGGGTGGGACAGAAATCAGTACACTAAAGAATATTTTGGTGCAGGTAGTTTGTTTCAAATGATTCAACCTTCAACATTACTTCACTTAAATTTTAGCAAACTTTCTGCTATAATTTAAGCATACAGACCTATGACACTAGACATATGTCCTGTGTAAGCCTGGGCTAGGGGAGCTCTATTTAATACTTACATAAACCCCAAAGATGTCCTAAGAAATAAAATTTGGAAAAACTTTGATGTGCTACAGCACGGATTTTCTCCTACAGCAACAGAGCAGACACTTGAATGTAGTTATACTCCTGCTTTCCACCTCCCTGTCAAAACAATAAAAAAGGCCACAGGCCTGTGGTTCTGGCCTCCAGGGAACTGGTGGCTTCTTTAACCCACACTGCTGCTGCTGAATCCCATTTAGGTTTAGGGTTTATTTTGTATATGCCTTTGTACAGGCTAAATGCTGGTCTAGTTGAAAATCAACCTAAAACAACCTTAATAGCATCTCATTTTATTGTGACTTTACTTTTTGTGTTGTTTGGTGTTTTACTTTTGGAGACAGAGTCTTAATCTGTCACCAAGGCTGGAGTGCAGTGGCATGATTATGGCTCAACCTCCAGGCTCAAGTGACCCTCCCACTTCAGCCACCTGAGTAGCTGATACCACAGGAACATGCCACCACATAAGGCTAACTTAAAGAACATTTTTTTAGATGGGATCTCACTATGTTGCCCAGGCTGATCTTGAGCTCTTTGCCCCAAGCAATCCTCCCACCTTGGCCTCCCAAAGTGCAGGGATTATAGGTGTGAGCCACTATGCCAGGCCTCTCTCATGACTTTAAACTTGAACATGCTTTTGTGCTGTGGCCGAGTTTAGGATCCCAACCAGCCTGTGATTACTGTGGTCACCACACAGATTCCCTCTTGTTCCATCTTTTATATTCCATCTTCTCACTCTCATAACTGTGTGGATAGGAAAACAATTATCCATACAGGTATGATATTGGCAGAGAAAATCACAAAATGTTTTAATGAGCAAACACTTTGGGGATGGTAATAATCTTTCTACCACCTTCATTGTCTTGTTTAAGTATCTCTACATTCTTCTTTAAAAATTAGGAATATATCTTTCTTGCTCTTTCGTTGTTGTTGAACACCAGAAGGGGATATTCCTTAATTCTCTCTCCATAGCTAAGGACAGTACAGCACAATATTCCATTCAGCAGGTGAAGTCAGTATGAATGAATGCATTTCAATCAGCAAATTGCTGGTTGTGTTGCAACTCCTAGTTATGATGTTTTGTGTACTTTGAAGGGCTCCCATTAATTAAGGTATTTCTTATAAGCATTCAGAAAGTCTCTTTTCTTGGCATGCGACTTGAAAATTTGTCCTGATATTTTCCCTGTGACAATGTTTTGTGAATTGTAACTCAGCCACTTAAGTGGCTCCTCATAATAAAGCCACATGGTATCCATGTACACATATTTAACAAATCAAAGAAGTGGTTCTCAACCTAATCTCTAGAGGAGGTCCTTCTTGTTCACTTTCAATAACTATGTTGAAGAATAGATTCTAAAAAGCTATCACCAAATTTTCGAATATGTTTTGAAATTTGTGTCCACAAAATCTATAAATCAATAAATTTATAGAATAGAGCATAATAATCCAATTAACAAATTTAAGATGTCATCTAAGCAGGAATGAATGCAATAAATAGGCCTTCTTACTTCAAAATCAACTGCAGAGGTAATGCATTGCCACTAGACTTGTGTGCTGTGTTGGTAATAAATTAACAAAAACTTTGGGGATAAGAAAAATCTGCAAATAAAATGGTGTGTCATTTGTGAAATATAATCACAAAAATGTTCAGATTGTTATAATTAACAGAAAAACTATTGTTTTTATTATATCCAGTGTTTAACAGACACTATTCATGTATACATACAACATTCTTATAATAACTCTTGTGTCCATGTAAATAGCAGTCTTGCCAAAAAGAATTGATTATCATGTAGTAGTTTGTAAGTATTTTCATGCATAGGCTGCAACCCTTTAGAGTGCTATTCTAATAAATTATTAATATTAACTTGATGAACACAATTCTAAGACATTTCATTTGAGGATATGTTTATTAACTATTAGGTTGGTACAAAAGGCATTGCGTTTTTTGCCATTACTTTCAATAAAAAATAGAACCAGCATTTAGAAATCTACTTTCAGAAACTTAATAAAATGAGAATTTGTCCTCTTTTACATATAGGAAGCCTGCATAATAAGCATTCTGTTGCTAGTACATAAGCTTCCCATTTTCATCAGGAAACTATACACTTACATTTCACTTTTACTAACTTCAATGCATGACTTCTACCTTCAAGGTGATTTCATGCTTCTAGCCACCATGTCTGTACTCCAGGACAGCAGCACAAAGTGTAGAAAAATAAAAAAGACATACCTCCCTAATGAGTCAACTGCACTTAAGGAGCCATCCCAGAAGTTTCACACGGCTTATTTGAATACAGCTATATCCAGATGCAAGGAATGCTGGGAAATGTGGTATTGTGCGCAGCTAAAGTTGGGATTATGTTAGTGAAAATGAGACCACGAACATTGGAAGGTTAAAAGCAATCTCTCATGACATATACAATTACAGAAATTAAATTAAATCTTTAAGCAATGTGATAAACCTATGGAATGTTAACAGGCAAAAATAGCAACATTAAAAATTACAGTGAGGGAATAAGGTATGATTCGTTTGTAGATGGTTTGTGTGTCATTAATCTAGGCAAAAAGTCATAAACTCCTCTAACAGTGACCACATGTATAAAAGAAATAATAATACACACTATGGCTAACAACATTCCATTTTGGCCTATTTACTGTTGTTAAGTCTCTATGGTTAGCATCAGAAATGTACAGTTTTGATAGCCTATGACCTCAACATGTTCAGTTTGATAGTAGAAAGGACAACATAAAGACAAACCAATCAACAAATAAGAATAAAAACTGTTAAAAAAAGGACAATATTATCATAAGAACATAAGGATGTGATAATGTATTTGACATATCGTTTATTTATTGTTTTATAGTTGGATAATACATATAAATTTACTGCTCCTTCAATGTTAGAATCAATAGAATCATAGCAGAAGTAATTAAGCAGATAAAGATCAAAACGTCACCTTTATTACTTACTGTTTGAAAAATAGTCTAAGGCTGGTTTTACAGGGTTGCTCCTATCCATCACCTGATGTGAAGTTTCTTAGGAAGCTTCAGGACTACACCAAAGAAGCAGAACCTGCTCTTTCACTCTGTTGCATTGTGTGGAGTGCAGGCCATCATGACTGCTCTCTACAAGAAAAAGAAAGGAAATAATTAAGAAACGCACAAAAGTTTGTGAATTGAGAATCCCAAAATAGGTATGAAATTGGTTAGCTTTCTAAATTCACCAATCTCATAACTAACACCTGTCCCCATGCAGTGAATGAGTAAAGGATGGACAGACTCCATAATGATTATTCTAGGGAAAGCCTTCTGAGTAGAAAGAGGAGAGTTTTGCAAACAGTTTTGTAGAGTTTACTCTTGTTTATGCACTGATAATAAATAAGAGTTCCTAAAATTCTCTCTAGAACTCTAGGTAAATGAGATATTTCACTGCTCATGCTGTGTGACCTTCATGTCCCATCTGCCTAGACTGTAAATATGCTTTCTGAAGTTTAAAAGAATTAGTATACTATGCTTACATTAAGCAAAAAAGTACCCTTATTATGCAGGATCAAGTAACACTCTAAAGATTCATGTTTATGAAAAAACACTGATGATTCTATTTTATTATGTGTCTTCTAAAGAGAAAAATACTTGTGCTCTGCAGCATAATTTTACAATGTGCTATTCTAAATACTTTCATTTAAACAAGACCATTATGAAAATGTTTTGCACACAGAAATATATTTTGAATACTTTTTTAAAAAGATCACAAAGTATATGGTCTCTGTACGTGTTCAATTATTTTAATGCTTTCACTATAACAGGAATTCTTAAAGAGGATATGTACTTGCATAATGCTGATAATTCTTTCTCATTTCTGTTTGTGCTTTGGCTGTTGTTACAACCACTGAAAGTAGTAATTACATGAGTGTATTATCCATGATTATCTTTAGATATATGTGCATTTTCTTTAATTAAACTATAAACTCTAAATGAAAAATAAAAAAGAAGTCACCTCTTGTCTCTTTGTACAATATTAAAATTTTTTTCTTGTATCCAGAGTTTCCCAAATGCCTGTTGCAAAATTTTACTTAGGGAGTAGAAAGTGGAGAATCAATATGGTAAAAAAAACTGTGTTACAGGGAAGGAGACACAGGGTAAGCATTTTCCTTATCTTCTCTCCTGTATCTACGTGCTGCACAAGCATAAATGATAGCAGTCACATGAACGAGTACTTTTCAAGAACGTAGAATATGGTGATGGAAAAAAAAAACCGCTTTGAAACATCGAATAATATAAAAGCCAGAACTACTACAACTATTTTTTACATCCATAGAAGGTAAACTATTTTTAGATATAAAATTCCTTCTGACGGTAGTCCTGATCATTTAACCAATATTTTGATAAATCAAAGAAGGGAAAAATGGACATTCAGTCCAAAGATGGGCATGTATTCCCATGCCCAGTCAGGCAAAATTGTGGATGTTCTTTAAAATAACAATTCATTCAACAAATAATTTTTAAATGGCTACTGAATACCTGGAAAGGTTCTAGACACAGGGGCTATAGTAAGAAACAAGAAGGAACTAATTGACAAGAATGTGCTCACCGACAATGAAACATCTCCTCATGGAGCTTGAGTTCTGTTTGAAAAGACAGAGAACAAAAAAATATTATTGCACAGAGTGTTAGTTATGTGTGAATTAAAAGACTGGTCAGTACTTGAAGGAGAAGGAGTGACAACAAATCTCACTTCCAGTTCTATTTACCTGAACAGATTAATTCTATTTTGTTTCAATGCAACAGTAGTCCTACGGTTAACAAGATGCACTACACAAAGCAAACAACTTATAAAACGCATTTTTTCCTTATATTGCAAATCAATTTTAAGTGGATCTACAAATATACAATAAATAATATAAATTACGGATCGTTTGTTTCTAAGGTAATAAGTACATTTGTTAATTTCACATAAATAATTTCAGAAGGAGAGCAAATGTAAAAATGTGTTTTAGACAGTGGAGATGCCATTTTATTGTAAGACTATTTATACTCAAAGGACAAAGTAATCAGCTTTCTATGTCAATGATCGTCCTTCTCTATTTCACCCAGTTCCAGACAAACCCAAGTCTTCCAAGTCTCTTCATATATCTGATCCAATAAAATCTATAATGAGTTCAGTTAGCATACACACACACACACACACACCACACACACACAAGCACACAAACACACACACATGACTGCATTGAAATACTTGCTCTAGGGAAGGAACATAGTGTATATGCAACTTGTGTACTTTCTAAGTATGGGAAGACTAATCCTTTAACAACTGCATTTACTTTCTTTCACTTCTATCGTTGCTATCTACTCCTCAGAAATCTACTTAAACAACCAATAAATATATATGATGTTGTTATGAGAGTTTTGGAAATAATTCCTAAAAATTTGCATGGTTGCCTCTTTATATTTGGCAGCTTCTATCACCCATGGGAACAACCCCTACAGAATGATCAGAATATAAAGCATGTGAGCCCTGGGTTTCTCAGGCACTGGAAGGACCTGTCAGAATCCTCTCAGGTGGGTCAAAATGGCCAGGCTTTATAACCTCATCTCCATTCGTGTTTGCATGTCCAGTGCTCCAGGATGCCCTAACATTGAGCCAGACAATGGTTACAGCTGAGGCAAACTTTGAAGGAGCTGAGAGCTGAAGGCTGCTTTGTAATATTGCTCCTAGCAGCCAAGGGGGAAAGAAATCTTTTCTTGAAGAGCGATCTGTGTCCATAGCAAAATGTTTTTTTCTTAGCTCTTGTAAAATCGAAATTGTTTGCTTTTGAATTTTTTTAAATGATTCCTTTAAGATTCTTAATACCAAGATATCACAAGGTCAAGGAATTTTATAAAGAAGTATTTCTATTTATGTAATTTCCTAAATTTATCTATACACAAATCAGCACTAAAACATGCCTTTGATACTAACAACTTGATCCGTTTGTGAACCAAATCTGTCATGCAAATACATACGGCTGTTTTTAGATAAATTCTAAAGGTATTACCAAATCATTTAATTTTATTGTGTATCTCAATATTCTGGTTGATGTATAAGTTTAAATAGAACAAACTATTTGACATTGAAATGTTCTTTATCAAAGGAGAAGGAATACAATTTTAAAGCCACAACGAGTGACACATAGTTCTGAATGATTTATTGGCTGTCTGCCATTCTGAAATGGCTGCCAGTCAATGTTACATGTGACATCTTTCAGATAGTGTGAACTCTTTTATGCAAGCACCTTTCACTATAAAATTACAGCTGGAGATCATGAAGAGAAAAGTGTGGTGTTTATCTTAATGGGCTGAAAGACCTATTTCAACAGTTACAGTAATTCAGAAAAATAGTCTGAAGTCTAGTATTTCAATAATGTTATTTTCATAGATTTTAATCTCTAAAGACAATGCTTCACTTTTGTAGAAAATGACTTTTCTAATCATCCTGGATTTCAAAATTCTTTCCATTACTTAATATTTAAATCACTGGCAGAACTTGGCATGAGGACTAGAGAGCTGTCACCAAGCAGCCAGTCATTTTTCTTGGCTTCCCATATGCCATGCCCAGCAATAGAGCATTTCTTAGTAGCTGAGGAATAGCAGCAGTGCTAAACACAGAGATGACATTAACAGGAATGAGAGGGTCCAAGCTGTTTTCCTAGACTAATTCTCATTCAGCCTGAATTCAAAGCATTTTCCTATCATTATCATAGATATTTCGCTTGTGGTATTATCTATCTTTTGGCAATGTTGATTTTTTTCTGATTATCCAAATAAGTAATGTTAATGGAAAAAATCAGATATTAGGGGAAAAAAAACTCTAGAAATAAATGTTAACCCAAGACAATAACAATTCAATTAATTTATATGATACCTTAGGGATTGTGTCAATTATTTTTTAAATGAAACTCAAAAAATTCAACACCTGTGTTTTCTCCTACGATTACAAATTCAACCAGGGCACAATTGTAAATGGTTGTATTTGGTTGAATTTTTAGATTGTTTATAAGTTTTACTCTTGCAGACAATAATAATGGAGTTTCTTTGAAAATAAATTTAGTTGTTCTATAACCAAGGCATAAATATTCAATTCAATAAAATTAGCAAAAATATTAAATGAAAAGTATATTATATATAAAATGCATAAATAAAATATCCTGCACTGATCATTTTATGTCTATGGTTACCCTATTGATTCTGTGCACATTTGCATATGGGTATATATGCAATTTTATACAATGAAGTATTAATAGTGTACATAAATTTAGTAATTATTTTACCCCTTAAAAGTATATGCAATGAGTGTCACTTATATATAAATTCTGTTAACGTGGAAGAAGAATGTTAGTCAAAAAAACTACGAATTTAACAATTTTCTGGTTAATTCAAAGGGCTTTCCAAAAATGTCTTTTAAAATTCAATTTCATTTATTTTCTCATAGCAGAATATGAGAATGAATCTTTTTTGCTGCAAATTGGCTAGCAATAAATTTTTATTTTTATTATTTTAATTCTGTGAATTTCGGGAATGGAGTCTCATTCAGTATAAATATTATAATACTAATGAGATTGACTCCCTCCTTCTTATTAACAGTGTGCATTTTTACCCTCCGTGATTCAGTGCATGGTGTAGTGCTATAATTAAAAATGAACATTTTTTTTTAAATTTTATTATTATTATATTTCAAGTTTTAGGGTACATGTGCACAATGTGCAGGTTAGTTACATATGTATACATGTGCCATGCTGGTGTGCTGCACCCATTAACTCGTCATTTAGCATTAGATATATCTCCTAATGCTTTCCCTCCCCCCTTCCCCCACCCCACAACAGTCCCCAGCGTGTGGTGTTCCCCTTCCTGTGTCCATGTGTTCTCATTGTTCAATTCCCACCTATGAGTGAGAACATGCGGTCTTAGGGTTTTTGTCCTTGTGATAGTTTACTGAGAATGATGATTTCCAATTTCATCCATGTCCCTACAAAGGACATGAACTCATCATTTTTTATGGCTGCACAGTATTCCATGGTGTATATGTGCCACATTTTCTTAATCCAGTCTATCACTGTTGGACATTTGGGTTGGTTCCAAGTCTTTGCTATTGTGAATAGTGCCGCAATAAACATACGTGTGCATGTGTCTTTATAGCAGCATGATTTATAGTCCTTTGGGTATATACCCAGTAATGGGATGGCTGGGTCAAATGGTATTTCTAGTTCTAGATCCCTGAGGAATCGCCACACTGACTTCCACAATGGTTGAACTCGTTTACAGTCCCACCAACAGTGGAAAAGTGTTCCTATTTCTCCACATCTTCTGCAGCACCTGTTGTTTCCTGACGTTTTAATGATTGCCATTCTAACTGGTGTGAGATGGTATCTCACTGTGGTTTTGATTTGTCCTCTCTCACCACTCCTATTCAACATAGTGTTGGAAGTTCTGGCCAGGGCAATTAGGCAGGAGAAGGAAAGAAAGGGTATTCAATTAGGAAAAGAGGAAGTCAAATTGTCCCTGCTTGCAGATGACACGATTGTATATCTAGAAAACCCCATTGTCTCAGCCCAAAATCTCCTTAAGCTGATGAGCAACTTCAGCAAAGTCTCAGGTTACAAAATCAATGTACAAAAATCACACGCATTTGTATACACCAATAACAGACAGTCAGAGAGCCAAATCATGAGTGAACTCCCATTCACAATTGCTTCAAAGAGAATAAAATACCTAGGAATCCAACTTACAAGGGATGGGAAGGACCTCTTCAAGAAGAACTACAAACCACTGCTCAATGAAATAAAAGAGGATACAAAGAAATAGAAGAACATTCCATGCTCATGGGTAGGAAGAATCAATATCGTGAAAATGGCCATACTGCCCAAGGTAATTTATAGATTCAATGCCATCCCCATCAAGCTACCAATGACTTTCTTCACAGAATTGGAAATAACTACTTTAAAGTTCGTATGGAACCAAAAAAGAGCCCGCGTTGCCAAGTCAATCCTAAGCCAAAAGAACAAAGCTGGAGGCATCACGCTACCTGACTTCAAACTATACTACAAGGCTACAGTAACCAAAACAGCACGGTACTGGTACCAAAACAGAGATATAGATCAATGGAACAGAACAGAGCCCTCAGAAATAACGCCGCATATCTACAACTATCTCATCTTTGACAAACCTGAGAAAAATAAGCAATGGGGAAAGGATTCCCTATTTAATAAATGGTGCTGGGAAAACTGGCTAGCCATATGGAGAAAGCTGAAACTGGATCCCTTCCTTACACCTTATACAAAAATTAATTCAAGATGGATTAAAGACTTAAACGTTAGACCTAAAACCATAAAAACCCTAGAAGAAAACCTACGCATTACCATTCAGGACACAGGCGTGGGCAAGGACTTCATGTCTAAAACACCAAAAGCAATGGCAACAAAAGCCAAAATTGACAAATGGGATCTAATTAAACTAAAGAGCTTCTGCACAGCAAAAGAAACTACCATCACAGTGAACAGGCAGCCTACAGAATGGGAGAAAATTTTCACAATCTACTCATCTGACAAAGGGCTAATATCCAGAATCTACAATGAACTCAAACAAATTTACAAGAAAAAAACAAACAACCCCATCAAAAAGTGGGCGAAGGACATGAACAGACACTTCTCAAAAGAAGATATTTATGCAGCCAAAAAACACATGAAGAAATGCTCACCATCACTGGCCATCAGAGAAAAATGAACATTTCAAAGATGTGCTTCCAAATGCCAAATCATCACTAAAAAGCTCTGTGGCATAGAGGAAATTTCACAACCTTTTAGTGCCTCAATTTTGTGGAAGAATGGTTAGGAGGCTATTGCAATAACAAAAGAAAATTTGAATAGCTGTATCCAACATGAAAAGATTGCTAGTAGAATTAAATGAGTTACTATAGGTAAAACAATCAGGGAAGTAATTAAAGAGAATCTGCACTAACATTGTTTTATTAATTTAAAATATCTGTACACAATCCTTTGACTCATTTGGAATTAGTTTTAGTGTATTTTAGAAAATAAGGTTTATTTTTTATTTTCTCCCAAAACAATTCTTCAAGACAACTTTTCGAACAGTAAATTCCTTCTTTGTTTATAATATGTATTTTAATAAAGTCACTTATCTTCATGATTTCTAGGACATCGGTTCTATCTAATCTATTGTTCAGCATTCGTCTGAGTATTTTCTGAGCAGCAATTAACCCCTCTGTACCTCTGAGTGCCCACATTTCCTTGATCCATTTCACCTTGCTGATCAATCCTTCTTTACTCATAGTCTAAATTTTTTTTTTAGAACTTCTGAGAGTGCCCCAAACCTTGGTCTTGGGTCTTCCTTCAATCTTATTTGTCTTTCCACCTGATCTTAATTATTTACATCACATTATACCCTATCTTTATGGTGACAAATCTCAAAATTATCTCTCTGACCTAAACTTATCATTAAAGATTTGGTTGCAACTTATTAAGAAGTCAGGTTCAATGTAATACATGCATTGTTGATTTAATAAGCTCATCAAAATACTTAAAATTTTATTTGAATGCAAAAAAATAAAGCTTTTAATTTTATCTCCTATTTAATAATTTTGACAAAAACATTATACCAATCATTACTAATTATTGCTGGCTTTTAAAATATTATCTGATTAAATATTTTTGACTTGGAAAAATGGTAACAAATGCTTCTCTCTTTCTTGTCCCCTTGAACCATACTTGATACTGCTTTTTCCAAATCCGGGCCACAAGTTCAGAATATAACCTGTTAAAATATCTTCTGTGTATAAACTATCTTTAAATTTTCTTGAGAGAATACTGAGTAACCAAAAGCATTGCTCCTTCACCCTACAAAAGAGAGAAAAATTAAAAAATCACATTAATTTGTAATTTTAAATGGTAATTAAAGCTATTGTGAGGGCTCTTTTATCGGCCAAACTTGTGAACAAAAAACAGCTCAAATTTATGTGTAAATAAAATATATTGAGATGAAGCCTTTCATTCAATGTGTGATTTTCAGTTCAAAAAAACACACTGATGTTCAAGAACAAAGACTGGTACAATAACTATCTACAAAATGCTTTTGTTACTAGATTTTAATTCCTTCATCAAACAGACACAGTCAAAGTTGATAGTGTCACTAGATCTAGAGGTCTATCAATATCCTTCCCACCATTTAATATGTTCTTAATCTCAGGGAAATTCTAAATCATATTCTTCTAAATTGTACAGTTGACTCCTGAAAAACACAAGGTTTAGGGCCATCAAACCTCCCTAACCCCTCCCCACCACCCCAGCACAGTCAAAAATTCACATATAACTTTGGACTCCCCAAAACTAAACTAACAGCCTACTGTTGACTGGACAATCCTTAACACATATTTCATACGCTGTATGTATTTTACACCGTAGTTTTACAATGAAGCTAGTTACAGAAAAGAAAGTGTTATTAAGAAAATTATAGGGAAGAAAAAATACGTTTACAGTACTACAGTATATTTATTTCTCTCATAAGTTTACAATCCTGTGTTTACAAGATGGATCCTTCTTCTGAAATGGCAGCACACACAGCTGCAGGCCTCAATCTAGGGTACCTATCAAGCAATTCATTGTTTTCCTGTAATGTCAGGACCCTTCTCTGTTTCCTGGAAGAACTTTCAGCATCACTAGCAGCACTTTTTATAGGTCTGAAGGTGTTATTCAAGGTTTATGGTATTGCACTAGACATCATGAATAATACAGGAGAAACATGAGAGAACACTTTTTACTGTGTTAATTTACTGGAGAGACAAGCTACTCACAAGAAGATGATTAGCATTATGTGGCATTTTAAGTGAATACTCACAACACTTGAGTTCACTGCAAGAACAACAGGTGGAGGCTAGGAAATTATCCCAGTAGTACAGTATGTACTACAGTTAATTTTGTGCAGTTATGATTTACTTTTGTATATTTTTGTTTTACTTTTCTCTAAACTTCAATTGGCTGCATGTATGCTCTGTGTTTGCCTACGTCTTGATAAATTTTAACTTTTTATAATAGACGCATATATATTTCATTGTATTAAATGATCACTAGTATCTACATATGATTTATGCATTCATGACATCGTTTTCTTAGTTTTTTAATATTTCTTGTGTAGATGGGTCACCTGTTATCTTTTTCAATTTTTCATAAATCTCCAAAAATTTTCTAATATATTTATAGGAAAAAATCTACATATGAGCAGACCTGCACAGTTCAAACCTGTGTTGTTGAGGAGTCAACTATATATTATAATTTAAGAGAGGATTCAACTCTTTCATTCTACTGGCAATGGGTTAACATAAACTTTAGTCAGAACTGCTGAGCTTTTCTGGCACAATGAGGACAAATTGACCAATGTATTTAACCAATAGCTGGGGGAAAATTTTGCTAAAATTGGTAAGTATATCTTTATATAACTATATCCTTACAACTTGTCTCAACCTTCGTCAGATTAATCCTAACAAAACTGTAAAATGTCTCAGTAAAAATCTAAATGAATTTTTCATAACAAGTGCTGGCAATAGATTTTAAATATGTTCTGATCATTATTTGTCTCTTGTTGGCATGGAGAAAATCCTTTTTTTTTTTTTCAGCCTGGGGAATCCCAAACTATATCTCTAGTAACAAGGAAACCATTTTACCGGAATTTTTATTAACATGGAAAAGTTCTGTCAATTAATCAGACTTCACTGTCCATATCACTTTCAACCTTTTGGGAAGGTAGAAAGATGGAATTCTGAAACTAAAGTTGGTAAAGTTCACAGAGATCGTCAAACTTGCATGGTCTAAGGTATTTCTTCTTTCTGTGGTTCATGAGTTAGTAACAGCTAAACCAAGTGTCTAGGAATATTAGCTCTGATTCTAGAAATCTACACTTATTTAACTAAATGCTGTAAGGACTCAGGAAATCCATTCTTTCAACAAAAGTTACTGAAGACTTTCCCCATTAGTATCCTAAACAATGTCTGCAAAATTGGTTTTCATACCTGGATACCTTGTCTTCTAAGAGACACGGCAGGGAAAGATCATAGGAAAAAAGTCACTATCAGGCACAGCTAACAACTAGCAAACCCATAGTCTTTAAAAGACTGATCCTTTGATTCCTATCTCTCAAGTAAAGAGGTTTAGGTCATCTTCATATTACAGGAAAGTATCCCTACCAAAAACTTCTAACTAATGACTCTTAGGATTCTTCCAAAAGCAAATAGTCTTTGGGAGAAGACAGCTTCCATCAAATGCCTTTGGATCAAGTGAATCACTATATGAGATATCGGTATCTGCAAACCAAGATCCACAAAAAAAGATCCATTGTTTGTCATATTTAATCTGTATATCTTGAGTTTTCATTTTCCTAGTTAACTTTATCTTTTTATGCTTAAGGTTACATTTAATTACTTTACCTATAAAGCTACTATTCCTAATTCCTCTATGCCGTCCTTAGTCACTCTCTAGAAGAGTCCGGAAGCTGGCCGTAATTTGTTCACAATTTGGCTAAACATGCAGTTGAATCAGTGCTAAGCTGCACACATTTTCCTTAGGATGCCAATTAGAGTTTTTTTTTTTTAACATCGATTCCTAAATATGAAACATCTGGGTTTATCAATAATTGGACTCACTATTTATTGTTATTTTATCTGACAAACAGCAGAGTATTAGATAAATAGAAATCTTAAATCCTAACATGCTGCACCCAGGAAAGAAAGCTTATGCCTACAGCAGAACAGCACTTAGGGATCTTTAATAGAATGCAACTTCTGTCACTAAACCTTTAGAAAGAAATGTCTTAAAAAGAAGAGAACAAATGGCACATACTTAATTCATTTCTCACATTTACATATCATAAAAAATTCTTATTACATATTCAAGCTCCTATCACATCTACCTCTTCCTCTATGTGATAAGGTCTTCATTTTATATCCCCAAAAGTGATTAATAGCAGAATGGAGCTGAAAGCAATCAATAAACTCAATCAACCTTAATGACTGCTACTGGATTTGTGGTACCAGAACCTATTGATTATTACAGCAATCTTGACATAAACTAACATACTGATGTGGTAGTCAGAATAATGGCTCTTCAGAGATGATGCGGTCTTAATCCAGATAATTTATAAATTTGTTAGCTTACCTGGCAGGACAGACTTTGCAAATGCAATTAGAGTTAAGGATTTTGAAATGGAGAGACTATCATAGATTTTTAGATGGCCAAATGCAATCATAAGATTCTTTACACGTAGAAGAGGGAGATATAAAAGGAGAATGTGAAGACTTGCTCCTTCATTTGTAGCTTTGAAGGTCAAGGAAAGGAACTGTTATGAACTGAATATTTGTGTCTCCCTAAAATTAATCTATTGAAGATGATTGGCATTGTTCAAATATTCATAGATTATTTTCAATGATCTATTAATTGGCAGTGTGATAGTATCTGGAGATGGAGCTTTTGGGAGGAACCTAGGTTGAGATAATGTCCTAAGTGTGGTGTTCTCATGATAATGTTAGTGTTCTTATAAGAAAAGGTGGAGATACTAGACCACCTCCCACCCAACCACCCTTCTCTTTCTCTCTCCGTAAACATGTATCCAGGAAAGGCCATGTGAACACAGAGAGAAGGAGGCCATCTACTAACCAGAGAGGGAGTGGGCCCTCACCACGAACCAAATATACCAGCACCTTAATCTTGGACTTCCCAACTTTCAGAACTCTGAGAAATAAATGTCAGTTGTTTAAGTCACCCGGTCTATGGTATTTTCTTACAGTATTCCAAGCTGCCCAAGACAGGGAACATGCATCAAAGAATGCAGCTGGATTCTAAAGCCTGGGAAAGGCCAGGTCATGGATTATTCCACAGAGCCTATAGAAGGAATGCAGTCTTCCAATGCTTTGATTTTAAATCAGTAAGACCTGTGTTGAACTTCTAACCTGGAATACTGCTAGACAATAAATTTATGTTGTTTTAAACTACTAAGTGTATTGTGATTTTTATAACAGCCACAGGAAAATAATACATTTGGCAAATCAGTGCATGTTTCATGATGGTCAATGATATGCCCCAGGGTCCATCTTAGCCATGATTTCTATCCCTTCAAAAACCAAAACAAAATAAAAAAGTAAAACAAAAAGACCAATTTTACTATACTACTTGATTTTTAACAATATTTTATATGTATTTAATCCAGTATATCCAAAATATTGTCATCTCAGCATAAAACAATATTAAAATTATTCAGTTTTACATTTTTTAAACTAAATCTAGTTTGTATTTTACATATAGCATAAATCAATTCAAATCCACCATATTTCAAGTGTTCAATATCTACATGTCACTAGTAATGACTATAGTGGACAGAATTGATCCAGATTTCCAGGTGTATTGCTATAAAACTAACCATATTTTTATCTTATTAAAACAAAACAAAACTCCTCCATAACTATGTCTATGTTCCTTTTGCTTTTATTAACATTGAACATATTCTTGTTTTTAATCTAATTTTGTCTGTATTTAGGTCTATTTTTTGGTGGTGTTATTTCTTGTATGCTTGGCATCAACTTTTTTTTCAATTTCTTAGACTATCTAAACTATTATGCTCTGAGTTTAGCTCAATTTCAATCAGCTACTCACTTTGAAAGACTCATTTAACTCTCTTAAGCCATTCTCCACAAACATGAAAAATCTTCCTCTCACTCTTCCCTGCTGAAACACTGCAAAAGTATGTCAAAATGGTGTACTTTCTTGGCACAGGGTTTCAATAAACTTAGTTTTGCTTTAATAACAAATTATCTGAATATATTTCAGGGAGTTCCACTGGTAAAAGCATAAAATCATGTTAGTTCAGGTCATCTTTTGTAAAGTTATGACAGTGCCATAGTATCAATTCTTGTCAAAATTTATGACTTCAAAATCAACTTAATATGCATCAACATAGATATTTTTTAGTTAATTCTAGACTCCAGGTGCTCATTTAAATAATATGGGTACATAAGACTGAACAAAACCAGTTGCTATTGAATGTACATTTTAGAGAAATACTTCATACACAGTTCTGTTTTGTTAAATAAGGAACTTGATGACATAATCAATATCACGGCAGCATACAACTGTTTGGTTAGTATGTCTCTTTAAACAAGCACATATGCTCATTCATGGAGTGTGTATTTGTATCTGTGTATGGTCTGTGTGGTGAAGCAGCAAGCAACAGTTGGATGTCTTAATTATCTAACAGGAAAAAACACCTAAATAATCAGAAGAAATTTTGATTTATTTATTAGTTCGACTGAGCTTTTCTCTTGAATGTAACACAGATGGTCCCAGATTTACAATGGTACAACTTTACAGCTTTATCATGGTACAAAAGTGATAAACATTCAGTAGAAACAATGCTTTTATTACCCATATACCCATTCCGTTTTTCACATTCAGTATTTAATAATTTACATGTGATATTCAACACTTTATTTAAAAATAGGCTTTAGGTTAGATTTTTTTTTTGGACTGGCTAATGTAAGTGTTCTGAGCACATTTCTTAAGTGTATTTTTTTTTAATACTTTAAGTTCTAGGGCACATGTGCACAACTTGCAGGTTTGTTACATATGTATACATGTGCCATGTTGGTTTGCTGCACCCATTAACTCATTATCTACATTAGGTACTTCTCCTAATGCTATCCCTACCCATCCCCCCACCCCACAATAGGCCCCAGCATGTGATGTTACCCACTCTGTGTCCAAGTGTTCTCGTTGTTCAATTCCCACCTATGAGTGAGAACACACGGTGTTTGGTTCTCCGTCCTTGCGAAGGTTTGCTCAGAATGATGGTTTCCAGCTTCATCCACGTCACTACAAAGGACATGAACTCATCATTTTTTATGCCAGCATAGTATTCCATGGTGTATGTATGCCACATTTTCTTAATCCAGTCTATCATTGATGGACATTTCGGTTGGTTCCAAGTCTTTGCTATTGTGAAGAGTGCCGCAATAAACATACATGTGCATGTGTCTTTATAGCAGCATGATTTATAATGCTTTGGGTATATACCCAGTAATGGGATCACTGGGTCACATGGTATTTCTAGTTCTAGATACTTGAGGAATTGCCACACTGACTTCCACAATGGTTGAACTAGTTTACACTCCCACAAACAGTGTAAAAGCATTCCTATTTCTCCACATCCTCTCCAGCACCTGTTGTTTCCCGACTTTTTAATGATCGCCATTCTAACTGGTGTGAGATGCTATCTCATTGTGGTTTTGATTTGCATTTCTCTGATGACCAGTAATGATGAGCATTTTTTCATGTGTCTGTTGGCTGCATAAATGTCTTCTTTTGAAAAGTGTCTGTTCATATCCTTTGTCCACTTTTTGATGGCTTTGTTTTTTTCTTGTAAATTGGTTTAAGTTCTTTGTAGATTCTGGATATTAGCTATTTGTCAAATGGGTAGATTGGAAAAATTTTCTCCCATTCTGTAGGTTGCCTGTTCGCTCTGATGGTAGTTTCTTTTGCTGTGCAGAAGCTCTTTAGTTTAATTAGACCCCATTTGTCTATTTTGGCTTTTGTTGCCATTGCTTTTGGTGTTTTACACATGAAGTCCTTGCCCATGCCTATGTCCTGAATGGTATTGCCTAGGTTTTCTTCTAGGGTTTTTATGGTTTTAGGTCTAACATTTAAGTCTTTAATCCATCTTGAATTAATTTTTCTATAAGGTGAAGGAAGGGATCCAGTTTCAGCTTTCTACATATGGCTAGCCAGTACCATTTATTAAATAGGGAATCCTTTTCCCATTTCTTGTTTTTGTCAGGTTTGTCAAACATCAGATGGTTGTAAATGTTTAGCGTTATTTCTGAGGCCTCTGTTCCATTCCATTGGTCTATATCTCTGTTTTGGTACCAGTAAAATGCTGTTTTTGTTACTGTAGCCTTGTAGTATAGTTTGAAGTCAGGTAGCGTGATGCCTCCAGCTTTGTTCTTTTTGCTTAGGATTGTCTTGGCAATATGGGCTCTTTTTTTGATTCCATATGAACTTTAGTTTTTTCCAATTCTGTGAAGAAAGTCATTGGTAGCTTGATGGGGATGGCATTGAATCTATAAATTACCTTGGGCAGTATGGCCATTTTCACGATATTGATTCTTCCTACCCATGAGCATGGAATGTTCTTCCATTTGTTTGTGTCCTCTTGTATTTCGTTGAGCAGTGGTTTGTAGTTTTCCTTAAAGAGGTCCTTCACATCCCTTGTAAGTTGGATTCCTAGGTATTTTATTCTCTTTGTAGCAACTGTGAATGGGAGTTCACTCATGATTTGGCTCTCTGATTGTCTGTTATTGGTGTATACAAATGCATGTGATTTTTGCACACTGATTTTGTAACCTGAGACTTTGCTGAAGTTGCTCATCAGCTTAAGGAGATTTTGGGCTGAGATGATGGGGTTTTCTAAATATACAATCATATCACCTGCAAACAGGGACAATTTGACTTCCTCTTTTCCTAATAGAATGCCCTTTATTTCTTTCTCTTGCCTGACTGCCCTGGCCAGAACTTCCAACACTATGTTGAATAGGAGTGGTGAGAGAGGGCATCACTGTCTTCTGCTAGTTTTCAAAGGGAAAGCTTCCAGTTTTTGCCCATTCAGTATGATACTGGCTGCGGGTTTGTCATATATAGCTCTTATTATTTTGAGATATGTTCCATCAATACCTAGTTCATTGAGAGTTTTCAGCATGAAGGGCTATTGAATTTTGTCAAAGACCTTTTCCGCATCTATTGAGATAATCTTGTGGTTTTTGTCTTTGGTTCTCTTTATGTGATGGATTACATCTATTGACTTGCGTATGTTGAACCAGTCTTGCATCCCATGGATGAAGCCAACTTGATCTTGGTGGATAAGCTTTTTGATGTGCTGCTGGACTCGGTTTGCCAGTATTTTTGTTAAATGTACTAAATGCATTTTTTACCTAAAATATTTTCAACTTATGAGTATATCCAGATCCATCATAACACATCTTGGCCTGTGGTTATCAGGATGTAACTCATTATAAGTCGAGGTAGATTTGTATTATATCCCATGTACACACACACACACACGCGCGCGCGCGCACACACACACACACACACAGACTTAATCTGTTTACAGAAATAAAAGGAATAAAATACCGTTTCTATTATACACCAAAACTAGCCATCTTGACAGATACTTCACTCTGAAAAATAACGTTTTATAGCTACTTTACAGATTAGTATAATAATTTGGTGTTTCTGTTTCAGAGATTCGATTTCACATTTCAATAAGTAGGCCGCTCCCTCTGCTAAGCCTGGGAATGTAATTCTTTTGAAAAACTATCTGTGCTGTAAAATTACATGTCATATTGGGAAAAGGACAATCGCAAACAGTAGTCACACATAAAATCAAGCAACACAGACATCCTTTTCACATACAGTGAAGACCCTTGTCAATTTTGAGATTACACAGGAAAACAGAATGGGGGACAAGTGTCTCTGACACATAGAAAATCCCGTGAAGAAGAACTCAGCTGACACAATCAAAACATACACAAAACTGAAAGAAACAAGGTGAGTGCTTTTTATATTAGTTCAGCTGTCAAGAAAGTGTAAAATAAACCTAACATTTTTTTACTAAGTGAGGATTTTCTTTTTTGAAACATCATCATTTATATTTATCCAGTTTGCAACTTCATCAGCTGAATCTCAGGATGTGTTCCATGACACTGAAGGACAATTAAATCATATCCATGACAATATATGAGAAGCTGACAGGAGAACATGGTGGCATTTGAATTAATGTCTATCATTAGATAGAATTTCTGATCACATAATTTAAGTTGTAGTTTTCCATACAATTTAATCAAGATAAGCACTTATTAGGTGAGTGATATACTTTGGCTCTGTGTCCCCACACAAATCTCATGTTGAATCGTAATCCCCACGTGTCAGGGGAGGGGTCTGGTAGGAGGTGATTTGATCATGGGGGTGGATTTCCCATACTGTTCTCGTGACAGTCAGTGAGTTCTCACAAGATCTGATGGTTTAAAAGTGTGTGGAACTTCCCCCCGGCTCTTCTCTCTACTGACACCATGTGAAGAAGGCACCTGCTCCCCCTTTACCTTCTGCCATGATTGTTAGTTTCCTGAGGCCTCCCAGTCGTGCTTCCTGTTAAGCTTGCAGAACTGTGAGTCAATTAAACCTCTTTTCCTCATAAATTACCCAGTAGTTCTTTATAGCAGTTTGAGAAGAGATAGATACAGAAAATTGGTACCAGAGAAGTGGGGCATTGCTATAAAAATACCTGAAAATATGGAAGTAACTTTGGAACTGGGTAACAGGCAGAGGTAGGAAACAGTTTGGAGGACTCAGAAGAAGACAGGGAGATATGGGAAAGTTTAAATCTTCCTAGAGACCTGTTGAATGGTTGTGAACAAAATGCTGATAATGATTTGGATAATGAAGTCCAGGCTGAGGGGGTCTCAGATGGAGATGAGGAACTCATTGAGAACTGAAGAAAAAGTTACTCTTGCTATGCTTTAGCAAAGAGACTGACAGCCTTTTGACCCGGCCCTAGAGATCTGTGTAATGTTGAACTTCAGAGAGATGATTTAGGGTATCTGGTGAAACAAATTTCTAAGCAACAGACCTTCCAACATGTGGCCTGGCTGCTTCTAAAAGTTTATGCTCATGTCCATGAAGAAAGAGATGGCTTGAAACTGAAACGTATATTTAAAAGGAAAGCAGAGCATAAAAGTTTGGAAAATTTGCAGCCTAACCATATAGTAAAAAAGAAAAACCCACGCTCTTGGGAGAAATTCAAGCAAAAATTTGCATAAGTAAAGAGGAGCCAAATGTTAATGGCAAAGACAATGTGGAATACGTCTCCAGTACATTTCAGAGACCTTTGAGGCAGCCCCTCCCATTATAAGCCTGGAGGCCTAGGAGGGAGAAATTGTTTAGTGGGATGGGCCCAGGGCCCTGCTGCTCTGGGCAGCCTCGGGACATGGTGCCCAGTGTTCCAGCTGCTCAGCTCCAACTGTGGCTAAAAGGGTCCAAGGCACTACTCAGGCCATTGCTTCAGAGAATACAAGCCTCAAGCTTTGGTGGCTTCCACATGAGGCTGGGCCTGTGGTTGTGCAGAAGGGAAGAGGTGAGGTTTGGGAACCTCCATCTAGATTTCAGAGGATGTATGGAAATGCCTGGATGTCTAGGCAAAAGTCTGCTGCAGAAGTGGAGCCCTTATGGAGAACCTCTACTAGGGCAGTGCAGAGGGAAAATGTGGGGTTGGAGCCCCCACACAGATTCCCCACTGGGGCACTCCCTACTGGAGCTTTGAGAAGAGGGTCATAGTGCTTCAGACCCCAGAATGGTAGATCCACTGACAGCTTGCACAGTGTGCCTGGAAAAGTCACAGGCACTCAATCCTAGCCTGTGAAAGCAGCTGTGGGGGCTGTGCCTTGCAGAGCCACAGAGGCAGAGCTGTCAAAGCTCATGGGAGCCCAGATATTGCATCAGTATGCTCTGGACGTGAGAGATGAGGTCAAAGAAGATTGTTTCAGAGCCTTAAGATTTAATGACTGCCTTGTCGGGTTTTGGACTTGCATGGGGCCTGCAGACCCTTTGTTTTGGCTAATTTCTCCCTTATGGAATTGGAGTGTTTACCTGATCCCTGTACCCCCACTGTTGTCTTGAAATTAACTAACTTGTTTTTGATTTTACAGGCTTATAGGCAGAAGCGATTTGCCTTGTCTCAGATGAAACTTTGGACATGGACTTTTGAGTTAATGCTGGAATAAGTTAAGACTTTCAGTCTGTTGGGAAGGCATGATTGGTTTTGAAATGTGAGAAGGACATGATACTTGGGAGGGGCCAGAGGAGAAATAATATGGCTTGGCCCTCTGTCCCCACCCAAATCTCATCTCAAATTGTAATCCCCTCATGTCAAGAGAGGGGCCTGGGTGGAGGTGACTGGATCATGGGAGCAGATTTCCACATGCTATTCTCATGATAGTGAGTGAGTTCCAAGAGATCTGATGGTTTAAAAGTGTGTGGCACTTCCCTCCTTGTGCTCTCTCTCTCCTGGTGCCATGTCAAGAAGAACCTTGTTTCCCCTTTGCCTTCCACCATGATTTTCTGAGTTTCCTGAGTCCTCCCATTCATGCTTCCTGTAAAGCCTGAAGGACTATGAATCAATTAAATCTCTTTTCTTCATAAATTACTCAGTCTCAAGTCATTCTTTATATCATTGTGAAAACTGACTACTACGGTTAGCAATCTTAAAGAATACTTGTGATTTTGAGAATCAGGCACATATTTTTTTAATAATCGGACTGCTTATAATTGTTTAACTCCTTGCAACTTATAGTTAGTGCCTAAAACTTTGATGACTTTCATTACATTTCAATGGCTCTGTTCCCTTATAGCAAACTACCTTTTTTACTGTACTTACTGTAACTACAGTGCATTTATTTTCAGCCCAAATAGTATTCAGTAATAAGCATTTCTTCCCACATAAGAATAAGTTATATTCCTATTCACTATATTCTAGAATTTCTATTTTCCTTCCACAGTGCCAGCTAAAATTAAAGTGGAATAATCTATTGGGGCCCTGTGTATTTAATGTTTGTTTTCTTAGTATATTATAAACACTGTGAAGGAAGGAAATCCTTGCCTCTTGTTTATACTTTTATCTCCATTATAGAAACACTCTGCATTATTTTCTTACTGCTGCTGTAGCCAATTACTACAAAGTTAGTGGTTTAAAATAGCACAAATATAGTGTCAAACAATTGTGTTTGTCAGATGTCTGCAATGCATCTTATGAGGCTAAAATCAAAGAGTGAGAACTGTTGTGTTCCTTTCTGAAGGTTTTAGGGGAAAATCAGTTTCCTTGACTTTTCCAGCCTCCAGAGGCTGTCCTGATTTGTTAGCTTATGGTCTTTCATTTGTTCAAACCAGAAATGCTGTGTCTCTCTGACCATTCTTTTGAAATCATACCACCTTATGTTTCTAGCCAAGAATGTTTCCCTAGTTTAAACCCATTTGATTACACTGAACTCAAAAGGACACTTTTTCATCTTACCATCCTTAACATTATAATACTTGCAAAGCCCCTTTTACCAGATAGTTAACATATTCACAGCTTCCAGAAATCAGGACATGCGGTTTTTTTTTTGTTGGTTTGTTTGTTTTGTAAACCATTATTTTGCTTACTATACTGTCTTAATTGGAGGAAGCAACTTCTTCGAATAGGTGAATTAATTTCAAATTGATAATGTGATTCTGAATGAACATTAAAGAAATCAACTATTACACCGAACATTACTTTATTGAGCTAAACAAATATTAACTGACTATATAAAATTCATTACACATTTGGAGATAGAATTTTGTACTCTTTAATAAGACTTTTTACATTTTTTGCAATCCTTTTTCTTATTTAAAAAATCAGTACTGTATTAGTACCCACAATATAAGTTTGTTCTAAGAATCAAATGAGATAAACATTTCAGACACCTATCATAGTATCAAGTTCATATCGTAAGCCTAAAATACCAGATGACTTTTATTATTTTCAGAATGTAGTCAAAATCAACATAAAGTTACATTAACACTTGGTTTACTGTATCATAATGCTAGCTTTGTGTCATATCTATCTAGAGAGTACACTGAATAGCTTAAACCAAGTAGAAGGTGATTTCTTGCTTACATAACAGTTTACCATAAGTAATTTTGGCTAAAGACGCATCTTTCCTGCAAAAAATAATTCAAGTTAACGAAGGATCTACTATTACCAAATTGTATCTTCCCAGATTACTTTGTATATATCACCATTCCAGAAGACAAAAGACTACTCATGAAATACAATTTGCACACTTCTTTATATATGAAAAATTCACTTCTCTTCCCTCTGTAAACAACTTAAAGTTTTGCCCAGTTACTGCCTACAACTTAGAGTTCAGGATGTTTCATGACGTGCAGTTCTCTCCCTCAGGCCACTATATGACTTAACGAGGACTAGTGTCCTATAAAGTCAAAAGACAAATTATCTGTAAAATCTAAGTTACCATGGTGAAGCTCCTATCAGAAGACAAAGAAGTCTGCAGAGCACTGACAAAAATATTTCTGAGCAGTACAAATATTTATTTGATGAAACCATAAACATGTCCTGTGGAAATAACTTTAAGGTCCATTGTCCCTGTGGCTCATAGATTTACTTTCTGAGGTAATTTACATTTTCTCTTATTCTCCATGCCTCCATCTTAAATTAGAACAATGAGTGTTTTCTCAGCATGACTAATCAATTGCACTGATTAGTGCAATTTGGGATGCTTGAGGATATTTTAAGCCTTAATTTTTTTTTCTCACAATAGGCTTATTGTACCTTTGCCAAGTAGTTATGTGGAAACCATTTATTTATTTATTGGATCTAGTTTATAACCAAACATACAGTTCTTTCCTAGGTATAATTCTAAAGTCTGCCTCATTTCCTTCTTTTTTCTCCTCCCCAACACACATATGCTTCTCTGACTGTAAAGATGACCACTTTAAGGTCATTTGAAATCATAGACTTGAAAGAGAAAACAACTTCCCTGATGAGTTCTTTGCTTCAGGGCTGGGTTCCTTGTTTTTTATGAACACAGTAGGATTTAATTTCTGAGCAGCTTTTTCAACCTAATCAGAAAAACCTGAGCTTTTCTGTCACTGTATAATTCCACCATTACTAGACTTTTTGTTTACAAGTGGTTTCCAACAAGGAATGACTTTGTTTCCATAGAACACTTGTCAGTGTCTGGAGACATTTTGAATTATAATGATTAGGTGGTGATGCTACTGGTATGTGGTGGTATAGCCTAAAGATACTATTAATATCCTACAATGCAAAGAATAACCTCCCACAGAATGCAGGAATATCAGGCATAAAATGTCAATAATGCTAAGGTTTAGCAACTCAACTCTATCCACTTTCTTTCCACTCTAAAGACAGGATATTTCTTTTTTCTTTTTTTTTTTTTTTTTTTTTGCCTGTGTTTATCTATTTCTTGGATTATGGAACAGAACAAACATGAACACATTACCTTTTGCCTTTCCTCATTTCCCACACTCTTTCCTAGAGGTAATATTAAGCTTCCAATTAATTTTAGATGGTAGTTTCAATAATTTTTTTTCACTGGGTATTACAAGTCTTCATTTCAACCCTCTGAGTTTGGTTTACTTGTCCATTTAATACTAATTTAGTGGATACGTTTTAGGTGCTGTTATGGCAGACCCAACTCAAGCTGGTGATTTCTATATTACTTGGAATCGTGCTAGTTGCTTTGACAACTACACTCAACAACATATAATATCTTAAACAGAACAGAAGTTTCATTCATATAAACTGTTTTTTTAAGATAGGAAAAGCATTGCTCCTTTATGTCCGCATTCAAGAACATAGGCTACTAAGGTATTTAATCTGCAGTATGTTGCTTCCAAGACTACTGTAGAATTGGCCGTTCCAGTCAAGCATACTGAAAAACGTATACAGAAGAGTGCATGTTGGGATTTTGGAGACTAAATTGGATATAAAATATGTTATTTCTACTAATTTTCCACTATTTTGACTTTAATCCCATGCCCTAATATAAAGTATATAAGAATGAGAAACATAGTTTATGTATCTATCAAAATAGAACATAAATGTTTGTGAACATTTGAATCTGTCAGCTTCTCTTGCTCACGTGCCTGTAGTGCCTGTACTCAGGATGCTGAGGCAGGAGAATCGCTTGAACCCAGGAGGTGGAGGTTGCAGTGAGCTGAGGTCACACCACTGCACTCCAGCCTGGGCAACAGAGCGAGACTCCATCTCAAAAAAAAAAAGAAGTGACTCAACTGATTGATGTGTAAAACCTCATTGTAAAATAATGTTCTATAAATGAGACATTAATACAGTTAAATTTTTGGATTAAAAAAGTCTGCCACTTTGTGAATATGTTTTATTTAGGCTTGATTTAGTTAATTTTCTTTTTTCTTTTTCTTTTTCTTTTTTTTTTTTTTTTTTCTGAGGAGTTTCACTGTTGCTGCCCAGGCTGCAGCGCAGTGCTGGGATCTCGGTTCACTGCATCCTCCACCCCGCCAGTTCAAGTGATTCTCCTGCCTTAGCCTCCTGAGTAGCTGGGATTACAGGCACCCACCCACCACCATACCCGGCCAATTTTTTGTGTTCTTAGTACACATGGGGTTTCACCATGTTGGCCAGGATGGTCTCGAACTTCAGACCTCAGGTGATCCGCCCACCTTGGCCTCCCAAAGTGCTGGGATTACAGGCATGAGCCACCGCACCCAGCCAGTTAATTTTTCTATTAACTAAGACCTAATTAAGATTGAGGCAGAAGAAATGGGTCCTTGGGATTTGAAAATTACTATTCAATTTGGAAGTTTAATTTGCAACATAGATTGTCTGTTATTAAATTACTAGATATAATATCACAAAGGTGGAAAGAAAGGTTGCTTAGTTAAAGATCTAAGTTACTAGTCATGGTGTCAGATATAGAGAATGATTGAAGGTTATCAGAGTCACACACCAGATGAGTAAATTGTTGTTTTCAAGGAAGAGGTTACATAAAGGTAAGCGGAGTAATATTTCAGCATTTTTGTTAATTAAAAATTTGTAAAGTTATTTCCATTTCAAGGAAATTACTCTCAGTAATTTTACGGGTAAAATGACAAATTCCAAGTTTAATTTTCACATGTAACACCCTCCTTGAGCACTTATTTTTATAAAGCTATTAATCTATTTTGGTCTCAATTTACCTTTCTTTAAAGAGATTTTAAAATTTTCTGAAAGAAGTTGACATCTGGAAGTGTAGCTGTTATATTTTTCAATTTTTAATTACATATTTAATTATCCTTTAATTACTTAAGGTTATTCTCAAAAGTGAAGAGATAGCTGGGATCACACTGCGTAAGATTTTACTCCTGAATGTAATATTCAAAAATGTTACAAAGTCTATCAAAGAGGTTTTCATTCTGTGACAATACATGGTCAATTTGACATGGTCAGGAAGCACCACCCCCACTGAGAGATACCAAATTATGGAGTAAACCACCGTAATTTAGGCAGATCTTGAGAGAGAAAATGCTGAGTGGATGCAGAGGCAGCAATGAAGCTGAGCTGAAGAGGGAGGAAGCCTGTGCAGGGAACCCAAACACTACAGCTAGTTCCCCAGAATGGCTCCTAGGAAAGGGCCTCTGCCTGAGAGAGACCTGTGGCCTAGAACACCTAACACAAGAAACACAGTGATTGCAGGAGACTCCCCCAGGGCCCAGGAGCACATCTGGTGATGGAGGCATCTCTCCCACCCCCACTATAGAGCACACCTGCAAACAAAAGGAAGTATAAAACAGCCATGCCACTGGGTATTAGGCTAGCCACTGGCCATCACTCTTAAGCACTATGCATTGGATCACATCCCAAACTACAACATCAAAATTTATCCTGCTACATATACACCTGTGAAACCAAACACAAGAATTACTCATACATAAAAATCCTGGACAGAGAAAGCCCTGACCCTTTGAAAGCATCCAGAAACAAAACCAATTGCCTATACTCAACATACACTACAGTTAAAGGAACACTAACCCTACCAGAAGAGAAAAAATCAGTGCAAGAACTCTGGCAATTCAAAAAGCTAGAGTGTCCTCTTACCTCAAAATTAGCCCACTAGCTACCAAGCAATGGTTCTTAATCAGTCTAAAATAATTGCAACAGACATAGAATACAGAACCTCGATGGCAGGGAAGCTCATGAACATTAAGGAGAAAGTTGAAACCCTAGCCAAGTAATCCAGTAAAGCAATCTAAGTAAGTGCTGAAAGATGAAATTGCCATTTTAAACAACAGCCACACTGAATTTCTAGAGCAGAAAAAATTCAGTATAAGAATTTTATAATACAGTAAGAAATATTAACAGAAGGTAGGCCAAGCTAAGGAAAGAATCTCAGAGCTCAAAGACTGGTTCGTTGAATCAACTGAGTCAAAAGAAAATTTTAAAAAAGAATTAAAAAAAGAAAATGAACCAAAGCTTTAAGAAATATGGAATTATATAAAGAGACCAAATCTACGACTCATTGTCATTCCTAGAAGAGAAACAAAGAGAAAAGGCAACTTGGAAAATAGATTTGAGAATAGAGTCTATGAAAATTTTCCTAACCTCGCTAGAGAGAGTGACATGTAAATCCAAAAAATACAGCAAACCCAGCTAGGCACTATAAAAGGTGACTATCCCTAAGGCACACAGTCATCATATTCACCAAAGTAAATACAAAAGAAAAAAAAAATCTTAAAGGCAGCTAGAGAGAAAGGTCATGTTTTCATAAAGCAAGAACTCCACTAGGCTAGTAGTAAATATCTCAGCAAAAACCTTACAAGCCAGAAGAGATTAAGGGCCTATGTCCAACATCATTAATGAAAATAAATTCCAGGCAATAATTTTATATTTCACTAAACTAAACTTCCTAAGTGAAGAAGAAACAAATTTCTCCTCAGATAAGCAAATACTGAGGGAATCAATTTCAACTTGACCAGCCTTATGAAAGGTCCTTAAGGGAGTGCTATACATTGAGTAAAAAGAATGACACCTGCTACCACAAAAACCCACTGAAGTACATAGCTCACAGGCACTATAAAGTATCTACACAATCAAGTCTACCTAAAAACCAGCTACAAACGTGATGATAGGATCAAAATCTCATGTATCAACATTAACCATAAATGTAAATAGGCTAAACACCCCCACTTAAATGACATACAATGGCAAACTGGATAAAAATGCAAGGCTCACCATCTGCAGTCTTCAAGAGACTCACCTCATATGTAATGACAGCCACTGGCCCAAAATAAGGGGATGGAGAAAATCTGCCATGCAAATGATAACAAAAAAGCAGGAGTAACTATTCTTATATCAGATAAAACAGACTTTAATCAAAATTAAAAAGAACAATTGAAGAATGAAGAGCATTATGTCATGAGAAAGTATATGATCAAACAAGAATACTTAAGTACCCTAAATATAAATGCACCCAACATGGAGCACCCAGATTCATAAAACAAGTTCTTTTTGGACTACAAAAAGACAGACGACCACCCAATAACTGTAGGAGACTTCAACACCCCCGCTGGCAGCACTGGATCATCAAAGCAGATAACTAAGAAAGAAACTGTGTACTTAAACTTCACCCTTGACCATCTGGACCTAATAAGACATCTACAGAACACTCCACTCAATAACCACAGAATATACATTCTTCTCATCTGCACAGGGAACATATTCTAACATTGACCACATGCTTGGTCATAAAGCAAGTCTGGATAAATTTTAAAAAATGAAATCATATCAAGCACACTCTTAGATCTCAATGTAATCAAAATATAAATAAATACCAACATCTCTCAACACTACACAAATAGATGAAAATTAAACAACTTTCTCCTGAATAACTTCTGTGTGAAAATCAAAATTAAGGGAGAAATTTTAAGAAAGTGAAATTAATGAAAATGGGAACACAAATTACCAAAATCTCTGGGATGCAGCTAAATCAGTGTTAAGAGGAACGTTTAAATGCCTTTATCATAAAGTTAGAAATACTTCAAATTAACAATCTAACACTACACCTAAAGGAACTAGGGAAGAAAAAAAAAAGAACAACCCTACATCAACGCTAGGAATGAAAAGAAACAACTAAAATAGAGAAGATCTGAATGAAATTGAGATGCAAAAATCCATACAAAAGATTAATGAAACCAAGAGTTGATTTAAAAAAAGAGATTGATAGACCTTTAGCTAGATAAACAAAGAAAAAAAAGAGAAGATCTAAATATATAAATCAGAATGACAAAAACGACATTAAAAATGGTCCCACAGACATACAAAATAATCCTCAGAGAATACTAGGAATAACTCTAGACACAAAAATTAGAAAATCTAGAGGAAATGGATAAATTTCTGAAAACAGGCAATCTTCCAAGATTGAATCAGGAAGATACTGAAATACTGAAGAGACCAATATGAAGCTCTGAAATTGAATAAGTAATAAAAAATCTACCAAGCCAAAAAGCCCTGGACTATATGGATTCACAGCAAAATTCTACCGGAAGTATAACGAAGAACTAGTACAATTCTACTGAAACTATTCCAGAAAAGTTGAAGAGAACGTACTCCTTCCTAACTCACGCTGTGAAGCCAGAAGCAGCTTAATACCAAAACCTGGCAGAGACGCAAAAAAAAAGAACATTCAGGTGACCACTGTTGACGAACATAGACTCAAAAATTCTCAACAAAGTACTAGCAAACTGAATCCATCAGCAGCATATCAAAAAATTAATCTACTATGACAATACAGGCTTTATTCCTGGGATGCATGGCTGGTTCAACATATGCAAATCAATAAATGTGATTCACCAGATAAACAGAATTAAATCAAAAACCATATGATCATCTCAACGGATGCCGGAAAAGCTTTCAATTAAATCCAGTGTCCCTTCATGAAAAAACAAAACAAAAAAAAACCCTCAACAGTTGAGGCTTCAAATAAGCATACTTCAAAATAAAAAAGAGCTATCTACAACAAACCCACAGCCAATATAATACTCAATGGGCAAAAGCTGAAAGCATTCTCCTTTAGAAATGAAACAAGCCAAGGACATCCACTCTTACCACTCCTATTCAACATAGTACCAGAAATCCTAGTCAGAGCAATCTTGCAACAGAAAAAGAGAAAAGCACTCAAATAGGAAGTAAAGATTAAGGCAAACTATCTGTCTTCACCCAACAATATCCTTCTATACCTAAAAAACCTTAAAGACTTCAACAAAAGTCTACTAGAAATGATAAAGGATTTTAGCAAGGTTTCAGGATACAAAATCAATGTACAACAATTAGTAGCATTTCTATACAACAACAACATCCAGGTTGAGAGTTAAATTAAGAACACAATCATATTTACAACACCTAGGATGAAAATAAAATCCCTGCAAATACAACTAACCTAAGATGTGAACGATCTCCACAAGGAGAATTACAAAACACAGCTGAAATCTGAAGCTGGATGCAGTGGTTCATGCCTTTGGGAGGCCGAGGCAGGTATATCGCTTGGACCCAGGAGTTTTGAGACCAACCTAGGCAACATAGTGGAACCTCATCTATACAAATTTTTTTTTTTTTTTTAAATAGCGAGGCATGGTGGCACATGCCTGTAGTCCTAACTACCCTGACGGCTTGAGGCCAGGAGTTCAAGCCTGCAGTGAGCTATAATAACTCCACTGCATTCCAGCCTGGGTGAAAGGGTGAGACTCTGTCTCAAAAAAGGAAGGAAATAAGAAAAGGAAGGAAGGATGGAAGGAAGGGAGGAAGGGAGGGAGGGAGGGAAGGAAGGGAGGAAGGGAGGGAGGGAGGGAGGGAAGGAAGGAAGGAAGGAAGGAAGGAAGGAAGGAAGGAAGGAAGGAAGGAAGGAAGGAGATTTTGATAACACAAATAAATGGAATAACATTCCATGTTTACAGATTAAAAGAATCAATATGTTAAAATGGCCACACTGCCCAAAGCAACTTGTAGATTCAAGGCTATCTCCATGAAACTACCAACATCATTCTTCACAGAATTAGAAAAAACTATTCTAAATTTATATGGAACACCCCCAAAAGCCAGAATGGCCAAAGCAATTCTGAGCAAAAATAATAAAGCCAGAGAGGCGTCATACTACCCAATTTCCAGCTATACTATAAGTGTACACTAACCATGATACTGTTACAAAAGCAGACACTTAAGCCAATGGAACAGAATAGAACACTCAAAAATAAAGCTGCACACTTACCACCATCTGGATCGTGGACAAGGCCAACAAAAACAAACAATGGGGAAAAGGCACCCTATTCAATAAATGGTGCTGGGATAATTCGCTAGCCATAAGCAGAAGAGTGAAACTGGATGCTTACCTTCCACCATACACACAAATTAATTCAAGATGGATTAAAGGTTAAAATGTAAGACTTCAGATTATGAAAACTCTAAAACAAAACCTAGGAAATATTTTTCTCGACATTGGCCTTGGCAAATAATTTTTGGCTAAGTTTCTAAAAACAATTGCAACAAAAACGAAATTGACAAGTGAAAGTCAATCAAACTAAAAAGCTTCTGCACAGCAATAGAAACTATCCACAGAGTAAACAGACAACTTACAGAATGGGAGAAAATATTTGCAAACTATGCATCTGATAAAGATCTAATATAACAAATCCATAAGGAAGAAAAAATGACAAGCATAAAACAACCCCAGTTAAAAAGGGCAAAGCTAATACAGGAGCAGAAAATCAAACTCCGCATCTTCTCACTTATAAGTGGGAGCTGAACAATGGGAACACATGGACACAGGGAGGGGAACAACACACAATGGGGAACAACACACAACACACACTATAATTTTCTGTAGGGGGTTGAGGAGAGGGAGAGCATCAGGAAAAATAGCTAATGCATGCTGGGCTTAATACCTAGGTGATGGGTTGATAGGTGCAGCAAACCACCACCACACACGTTTATCTATGTAACAAAACTGCGCTTCCTGCACATGTACCCCAGAACTTAAAATTTAAATCAAGAAAAGGCAAAGGACATGAACAGATATTTTCTCAAAAGAAGACACTCAAGTATATGAAAAAACACTCATCCTTACTAATCATCAAATAAATAAATGCAAGCAAAAACCACAGTAAGATGCCATCTCACATCAGTCACAACAGCTATAATTAAAAAGTAAAAAAATTAGATGTTGGCCAGGCTGCAGAGTAAAGGGAATGCTTATACACTACTGTTGATGGAAATGTAAACTGGTTCAGGTACTGTGGAAAGTATTTTGGAGATTTCTCTAAGAACTTAAAACAGAGATACCCTTCGACCCAGCATTCCCATTACTGGGTATATATTCAAAGGAAAATAAATTATTCTACCAGAAAAATATACATGCACTCGTACGTTCATCAGCATGTTATTCACAATAGCACAGACATGGAATGAACCTAGGTGCCCATCAAAGGTGGATTGGATAAAGAAAATGTGGTACATATACACTATGGAATACTATGCCTCCATAAAAAAGAATGAAATTATGTCCTTTGCAGCAATATGGATGGAGCTAAGGACATAATCCTAAGCAAATTAGTGCTGGAAAAGAAAACCAGATACCACACATTCTCACTTATAAGTGGAACCTAAACACTGAGCACACAGGAACATTAACATGGGAACAAGACATGCTGCAGGCTACGGGGGTGGGGGAAAGAGGGGAGCATGGGCTGAATAACTACCTACTGGGTACTATGCTCACTACCAGGGTGCACTGTACAAAAGTAACAAATCTGCATATGCACTATCTGTGTCTGAAAAAAACTGAAATTATAAAAACCAAGAGAATATGTTTCTAATGAACGTAGACTTTATTTGATGGACTGGATTAGAATATAATTTTTTTTAAGGGGAAAGGCATTGGGGGATGCACAATGTCTACAGGTTTCTAAACCTCTCTGGTTTCTGACCTAATTCATAGTCTCTTATGTCATTTTCATAGTTTTCATATTCTGCCTTTCCACCTCTTCTTTTTAACAAGTAAAATTCCTCATAGCATACAAAAAAACAATTTTATAAAAAACCCATATTATAGATCAGGGACCTGTGGATTATATGCTATTAGAACTATACAAAATGTCTCTATATAGTTTTCTGTATCTTTGGAATATCTTTGGGTGAAGCTGCAGACCTTCTCGGTGAGTGTTACAGCTCTGCGCAGAGCCAAACAGTGAGCAGCAGCAAGACTGCAAAGAGCAAAAGAACAAAGCCTCCACACTGTGGAAAGGGACCCTAGCACGTTGCTGTTGCTGGCTCTGGCAGCTGCTTTTATTCCCTTATCTCACCCCACCCACATCCTGATGATCGGTCCATTTCATAGAGAGCTGATGGGTTCATTTTACAGAGAGCTGCTTGGTCTGTTTACAATCCTTTAGCTAGACACAAAAGTTCTCCAAGTCCCCACCAGATTAGCTAGACACAGAGCACTGATTAGTGCGTTCACATACCTTGAGCTAGACACAGCATGCTGATTGGTGCATTTACAATCCTCCAGCTAGACGTAGTAAGTTCTCCAAGTACCCACCGGACTCAGGAGCCCAGCTGGCTTTGCCTAGTGCATCCCGGCCGCGGGCGGAGCTGCCCGCCAGTCTCTGGCGCGCTGCCGCACTCCTCAGCCGTTGGGCGGTTGACGGGACCGGGTGCCGCGTAGCAGGAGGTGGCGCCCGTCCCCTCGGGGTGGCGCGCGGGAGCCTGCGGTTGGGGGGCGGGGGGCGGGGGCGGGGGGCAGGGGACGGGGGCGGGGAGGAGGGTGAGGGCTCCAGCATGGCAGGCTGCAGGTCCCGAGCCCTGCCCCCTTGCCCCGCGGGGAGGTGGCTGAGGCCCAGCGAAAATTCGAGCGCGGCGCCGGCGGGCCATCACTGTTGGAGGACCCAGTGCACCCTCCGCAGCTGCTGGCCCGGGTGCTAAGCCTCTCACTGCCCAGGGCCGGCGGCGCCAGCCGACCGCTCAAGAGTGCGGGGCGCGCCGAGCCCGCGCCCACCCGGAAGTCGCGCCGAGCCCGCGCCCACCCGGAAGTCGCGCTGGACCTGCGAGCACCGCAGGCAGCCCAGGTTCCGGCCCGCGCCTCTCCCTCCACACCTCCCCGCCAGCAGAGGGAGCCCGCTCAGGCCTCAGCCAGCACAGAGAGGGGCTCCCACGGTGCAGCTGCGGGCTGAAGGGCTCCTCAAGCGCGGCCAGAGTGGGCTGAGGCCGAGGAGGCGCCGAGAGCCAGCGAGGGATGCCAGCAAGCTGTCACCTCTCAGAAATACAGGAAGAACATCAATAATGTTCGAAGTTATAAAGTAGTAGGTTTCTATCAAGAGTAAAACATAAACGAAGTTATAAAGTAGTAGGTTTCTATCAAGAATAAAACATAAACGATCAAAGAATTCCTTATAAAAACATTTTTTATTTCTAGGAATCAAAACATAAATATAAAATTTGAGAGTCCACCAAAAAAAATTAGATGCCAGATTTCACTATAATTATCAGGGAAGCGCCCAAATGGGTTGTTTACGGCGCCTCGGGGAAACTTTCTGTTTCGTGTTAAGGGTCTTGAACCATGATGTTTAGAAAACCATGGGCTGATGCTTTCAGAACCTCTGTGATTTTTGCCTCTGACACTGCATCCAATAGACTAGCATGTTGATTAGGGAAAGCTAAATTCAATAAAAGACGACTGTAAGTGGGGTCACCACCTTGAGGGGTCATGTTAGAAAAGTAGATGATAAGGTGGTATTGATAGAGTATTGAAGTCTGGGCTCAAATGGTTGCCCGGGGCCTTTCAAGACCAATGACTGATAAGAATAGGTAATGTTCAGGACATAGAGTTTAGGATTGGGGGACACTGTGAGTTAAGGGCCATGACAGAAGTCTTCATAAGTAAACTGTTAATTGACACAAGCTGCTACCTGCCCAGGTGAGCAATCTGTTGGCCCAGAGGAGAGTTGCTTACTGACATAAATTGATTTGCAGAAATTTCCTGAAGCAAACAATAAGTTATTTATTGGTTTGCAGCCTTACTTTCCTGAAAAATAATTTTCTGGAATGAATTGTGAAATCATGTTGACACAGATGGCCTCAGGTTTCAGTTCGGATAATTAAGCTGTGTAAATATAGAAAGTCGAAGGTTTCTGGGTGCTGTTGATTCACAGTATGCAACAATGATCATATTACTTTTATTTACTATGAGCTTCAGCTGAAAATCCAAAAGAAACTTTAATTTCAGATATTTAATGAAATCATTATAGCTGTGGTAATTTCCTTTAGCTGGGTGTGAGTGTGTGATGTGAGCGTGTGATGTGTGTGTGTGTGTGTGTGTGTGTACTCTGGCAGCATATTCCAAATAATTTCTGTAAAATTTCAGTTTGAAATTAATAGAAGACATATTAAATTGTTTAAACTCTTTGTTATTTAAATTCTATATTACTTTAGTCGATTACTCTGTATTATTACGGCAAAGCTTTGATATGTTGCCCTGAATTTAAATGAAAAGGCTGTTCGGCCTAAAAACAGGAATATTTTATTACCAAAAAGAATTAACTACCATATGTCATTTACAGAAAAGAGTAAATTCTTCAGGGCATAGAAAATACACATTTCCTTCTGTTTGTGTGGAAATAAGCAAAATACCTGTTATAATAGATTCCTCACAGAATTTTGTGAAGCTTCAGGTAAACTTGAAAGAGAAAAATTAAAATGCTAGAGTTTCATAATTACAAATTGGGATATAAAAATAGAATAATTATTTGAATTTTGTATTTCTCTCCAGGGGATCAAAAGTAATATATAAACTTTTAATAAATATTGATATAGCTTCACGTTGACTCCATATGTGAGCAATTTGCTTTCTGTTAAATTCACAATTGCATAATTTTTTTCAGGCTGGAATGCACTTGGATGCCAGAGATTTTGATTTCTTCATGTGACATAAGGTGATAATACATTCCAAAGTATATATTTTTTCAACTTTGAATATATCTGGTGTATTTGGAGTAATATCTGAGTAAATACACTTATATGTAAGAGAATCAAAGGAACAAGATATTATTTTATATCCAAGGAAATTAACACTTAGAACATAAATACGTATTGCATTACTTCATATTAAAGAAATGTTTTACAAAAGAAAATAAAGGAGCTTATTTTATAGCCCCATTTCCACAAATAATAGCAAAGGTACATACACATATCTAATGTTTTACACACTCATTATTGTTTCTCTTAAAATTTGTTGCTTATACTATTTTAAAAGGCAAGCCTATAGATTGTTGTGTGTATATACATATACACACAACATACATATGTGTGTGTGTGTGTGTGTGTGTGTGTGTGTGTGTATATATATATATATATCAGCAAGCAAGAGAATGGGCCTCTTCCTACTGAGGTTTAACATTTGCATGTATATGTATATTTTGATTCACATAGACTTATTGTTCTTTAATTACATGAACAGTGATTCCTGGTTACATTATTGGAAAATGGAAGCAATGCTCAAAGAGCATCACCTAAATTTCCATCATATTTTGCTCTCAATATGTTTTGTACATCCAAATATATTGTGATTAATCTGCATACATTTTTGCTGTTCTAGGTGACGCTGGTATGAGGCTAGGTAATACACGACCTTAGTCTGCATGTTGTACTTGTGTAACACACATAATTTTACAGTGCTAACAGGTGCTATAATAACTAACTATAGTTAATGATGAATGAAAGAAGGAAGATGTTAAGATGTTAGGGAAGGACTCAAAAGATGCAGTGCTTGAGTTAGAATTTTAAGGGAGATTGTGCAAAAGCAGTCACTTAAGGTGGGTCGGGATGATCTAGAATGTGGGAATGATGTATGCAAAGTCACACAGGAGAGATACAGCATGCATGTTTAGAAAATTGTTGATTACATATGGAAAGTTTGCAGGACTTGCATCCTAGAATGTCAGGATTTTAAGCTAAGTAGGGTTCAAATTAAATTTTTCACATACTTCGCTGCATTATAATAACTAGTTTATGTTTAACTCATCCACTAAACTAAGTTATTTGAAAAGAGATGCCAGTGTTCACTCAATCTAGTTGTCTGTCATTAATAATTTAAAAATAATTGAGATTTTAATTTTGGTCTGCTAAGCCTGTTTAATTAAAATTTGACATTAAATAAGATTTTACAGGCCTCATTTTTTTTTTTCAGTCATCACAGTTTGAATATTAAACATTACTACTTTTATCTCCCTCAGTCAGCATAAAACATACTACTTATGGTTTTAATAACCAAATTCAATGAGCACCAACAAAATTTGATGTAACTATTAACTTTGAAATTTTGTTGAAATAGAACTATGCCTTGGGTATCATTCAAAGCATTTAATTGTTGCAATAAAAAACTTTGAGATAAATTGAAATGATGGACAATATGGGTCGAAAGCAACACTGGCTTGAGGGAATAGGCTAATGTTTGAGAACAGAATTGTTAAGGACAAGATTGGATGTTTATATTACTTTAGGAAAGACACACTCTAATGGAGTTTAATTCTAAAATGTTTAATATTATGAAAATATTATATGTTATATGATCATTATAGAAAATTAAAAATATAAGAACATCAGAAGCAAAATAGTCAAAGTCTACCTAAACCCAATTAGAAGTGAATACTATTAATCTTGATTTGCATGTTTCTAATCTTATTATTATCAAATTAATAAACAGCTTTCAGATATTCTGCTTCTCCCTGTTACTAGATCAGGATAATGTCATTTATGTACAGGCATCTCCTGCTTACTCAGTTCAGCATTGATCAATAAATATTTTAGACTTCTATTCAAAACACTTCCATTTTTCTTTTGCCCATATTCTTTTTATTCAGTGCTGCCTGTTTTCAAATACACAACACTTTGTCAAACAAATTCCAACATTAGATTGGATATAGTTGGTATCAGAGTAGTAATACACATTGCCATTCCTAATCCTCAGTGCATTGATCCTGAAAATTATTTGTAAGAATAGAAAAATACTGGATATTTCAAATTAAGTCTCATTTTGTTGCTTACCCATGAAAGACTGGAATTAACCAACATAACCATTACAAGGTGATTGAGCAAATGAATAGATGGAAAATATTATAGAAACTTTACTGCAGTTCATCAACCATTGTGGTCATTAGGCCGTAGGAAAATACAGTGTGACAGTACCCCTGTCTTCTTTTCCATTTGTTAAGTCTCATATCCAAGTAACAGTGGGTAGACCTTATGAGAACCCAAAGTGAGATAAAAATAATTTTTGGCTTTTCAATGTATCTTATTTGATCTAAGAGGTATTTCCCCGACTTTGATGCAATAATTCTTGTCACAAAATTTGACTTTACTGAAGACCGTTTTAAGGATCTTTGCAGCTGACAGCAGTGACTTTTTTACCTCCTACAAAGTTTCAACTGACAGTCTTATTGTCTCTGACTTTCCCAAATTAATGACATAATTAGTCACCAGGGCTTTGGCTGCTCAATAGGGATTTAGTAAGCAATGAGTCATATGTTGGGGAACACTTCAACAAACAAAATGTTGGCAGAGAAAGATGTATGAATCAGCTAGGAAGAAACACTATTCTATCACTGAGGATCTTTCTAATATTAGATATCACAGAAAAATTTTCATATAGATTACCATATGAGTGAGCCAAAACCTCTAGGAACAAAAAAGCTTAGTATAATTATAACTCCTTGCCATGATTTAACTTAAAATTTCTTTACTTATTTAGCAATTCTATAAACAAGAATCATTTCTGTTAAGGATACTAAGGAGAGTGTTCCTATTGAATCAGAACATTTAAAAGAAATAATTGAGGGAACTCACACATGTAAAACGTCATTAACCAAACTAAAATAAAATGTGAGGGCATAAACTTAACCAGAAATGTTTAAAACCTATATATAAAAAAAACTAGAAAACACTTCTGAATGGCACAAATTTGGACTTGAGCACGGGGAAAGAAATTCCATGCTCTTGAAAAAGCCTTAAAATCATAAATGTGCCAGTTCTTTAAATAAACTTATATCTTCTGTGTCATAACAAAACGACATTTTCTAGAATTTCTTTTTCCAGATTTAGAAAAATAGACAAATTTACTTGGAGGAATAAAGAAGCAAGAATAGCTAGAAATATCCTATAAAATCAATGGAATTTGGAGTCAATACAAAATATTAAGCAATTCTTAAAGCTTCTATGATTAAAATGAGTTATAACTACAGATAGATGAAGATCATATAGAAAATCAAGACATTGACAGATATGGAAAGGTGGTATATAATGAAAACATTTCAGATCAATGAGGGGGAAATGTTAACCGGAAAAGAATATTAAAAAGGCAATGAACTCAATAAGACAACAAGAAGCAAACCACAGAAAAATAACTGGACTGGATTAGAAAGAAAATATTTTAGACACTTCAAAAATAAAATATTCAAATAACCAATGAACTTATTAAAAGGTTTTTATTTATATTGGTTACCTGAAAAAATAATTCAAACCACAATGAGATGTAAGTACTTGTCATTCAGAATCCTGAATTTGAAAGGAATATTTTAGAATTCTAAGTTGAAGAGAAAGTGCAAAGTATTGATGAGAATGTTGACTAATTAGAACACTCAAATTGATGTTATTGGCATAACTTAGTTCAAATAATTTGGATAAAGATATGTATTAGGCCCCAAAATTCTACTTGTAAAGATGGTTTCTCCAGAAATGCATGCATATATATAGCTAAAAAAAATGTGTACTCATGAAAACACTTTTCAGAATAACACCAAAATAACCCCAAACTGTGGCCCAAAAGTGGACTAAAATACTTATAAAGAGTACAGTAAACAAATAAGTTGTAATATGATCACCTAATAAAATATTAGAGAAATAAATATAAATAGTTTCATTTGCAGGTCATATAGTCAATTCGTCTCACAAATATAATATTAAGCAAAAAAATGTGGTTCAAAACACTACACACACTATTTGATTCCTTACTGGTAAAAGTTAGAATAGTGTTATGTTAGGAGGGATGGGTGGAAATCAGGTGTGTGACTATTACATTTTCTTATTCTGGATGATCATAGTATTTTAAAACTCACTAAGCTTTAAACTTATGTGCATTTACCCATGTGTATACAATACTTTAATAGAAGCTTCAAATCAATGAGAAAACATGAAACTGTCTGATGGAAAAATAGCTTGAGGAAATGAACAGGTATAGCAGAAAAGAAGGGCTGCATATAGTTTAAAAACTTGAAGAGATGTTTAATCTCTTTGCAAATAGAAAAACATACGCATTTAAATTGAAATACCATTTTCATGTTCCAAAATTAAAATTATTAGAAATATGATGGTATACAGTGATGGTAATATGGGAGAAAGGAAACATCCTAGGCAATTTGGCTAAGCTTTTCTGAGAAAGATTTAGGCAATATGCCATTAAAAGATTTAATGTGAACAAATGGGAAATTTGCCCACATAAATAAATGGAAAGATACTCTATTTTTCCTAATTTAATCTGAAAATACCTAAGCCCCTGATATTTTAGAGACATAATTTTCACTGCGATGGTCATAATTTTAAAAGGTTGCATCATCCATTTTTAGTTAACATATATTGTACTAACATCACATATCTATGTAACAGAAAAATAGAGTCAACTCATGTAGGGACAGACATGAAAATGACAAATACATATAGAGATAGAAAGGTATCTTGTGCATTATACTGAGAAAGACAATAGAAATAAACAATTTACATGGGTTGATTTATTTTGATTAAGATATATAAGTGGTTAGATAAATGTTAAATAGGTCAGTATGTAATTACAGAAAATGACAAATTGTTATGTATGGTACATTTGTAGGCATAACACAGACATTACATTTTGGAAAATTGTGTTCTATGCAACAGTGCCAAGTCTAATGAAAGTAAGAGGAAGAGGAATTCAGCCAAAGTACCAACCCCTGTTATCCATTCCTTAAGAAAGGAACTTCTTTATACACTCAAAAGAGGGGATTCTTTTTAAATTTGTTTCCAGAGGGGCATCTGCATACACATACACATACACACACACACACACACACACACACATTTACATTATATTTAAATGTGTGTGCATGATATATATATATACATGTATTTATTTATTTAATATATATGTGTTATCTGGGTCCTATATAGGAACACACACACACACACACACATTTTGAATCAAACACTCTTTCGTATAATTTTGGTGACAAATGTATGCAATAAATGAGAATACTTTAACTTTCCAAAAAGCTATTCAAAAGTATAATTTTCAAATAAAATATATGTTTGTATGACAACAAATGATTTTTTACAAATAATATATTCTGCATTATCAATCTGCCACTGGTTTTTATTAAATAAAAAAACCTGTAAGTTTGTATGCTCTTAAAATACATATAACATTTGTAAGAATAGTTTTTATGTAAAAATAATTATAGTTCACTATAACTATGTTAAAAATAGACATAGCCAGGCAAGTCGCTCATGCCTGTAACCCAGCACTTTGGTAGGCTGAGGCGGGCAGATCACTTGAGGCCAGGAGTTCAAGACCAGTCTGGCCAACATAGCGAAACCCCATCTCTAATAAAAATACAAAAATTAGCCGGGCATGGTGGCCCATACCTTGTAATGCCAGCTACTCAGGAAGCTGTGGCAGGAAGATTGCTGGAACCCGAGAGGCGGAGTCTGCAGTGAGACAAGATCATGCCACTGCACTCCAACCTGGGTAACAGAGTGAGACTCTGTCTCAAAAAAAAAAAAAAAAAAGAAAAGAAAAGAAAAGAGAAAAATAGACACAGATGAAGGGTGTCTTTGATTATGCAAATAGATTACCCATCTTGTACTCACTGTGTTTATTTCAATAAATGATCCACAGAATATGCTACTTTTGATTTATAGTTTTCTTCTCCTTCACCGCTGTGGACTGGGAAAATATTTCTTATTATTTCTGCTGCAGAGTAGCAAAAAATTATGAGCCAGAAGGAAGACCACTACAACAAGCAAAATCTCTGAGTAATCATAAAATGAAGAACTATTTCCTGTTGGGATTCACTGTGACGAATTTGATTTTAAATTCTTGATGTTGGCATTTTATTTTTAAAACTTAGCTTTCTTGCCTATTCTGAAATTGTCAAAAATTCAGAAAAACAATCATGATCATTTGCTTGCTGACCAGTGGAGACCTACTGATTTTTAGGCTGTGAGACTACAGTAATAAATAAATAAAAAAGTTCATACTTCCTTCTATCGAGGGAAATTGAGCATTTTTCTCATAGTCCTAAATCACCAGATCAAGGGATATATGTAATACTTGAGTGTTGACATTTTATTAATTTTTATATTTAACTAGAGCTGTAAAGTTGAAACAAATGGGTCAATGCAGTAGCCCATAAAATATTTTAAAAACACATAAAAGAAATATCACTAAAATTTAAACATAAAAAAAATACAAAAAAACCCTGAGCTATAGGAAGGGAAGTATCCTCTAAATGCCCAAGTTGAAGGTAGTCCTCTTAGAAAGGCACAGTAAGAAGCAGTGTTTGATGGGAACGTGATTTTTCAAGTATTTGAATTTTCAAACTCACCACATTAACTGAGTAAAATGAAAAAAATATATAAACTTCCTCTGAGGCAGAAAAAACATTTGGCATTTTCAAGATAGAATTATAATAAAAATATCTCGCCCCAATAGAATACAAAGAAGCATCCTTAAGCAAATAGAAGGCATCTACGGAAATATCACACTGAAGTTTGAACTAATAAATTATTCATTTAAGATCCAGAAGAAGACAAAGTGTCCTCTTTCACTATTGTTCTCTCTACTGTATGGGAGGAATTAACCAGTGAGACAAATCAAATAAATAAGTAAAACATACACAGTTAAGAAATGAAAAATACAATTCTAAATTTTTAAACAACTCCATTACCTACACATAAACTTCTAGTGACTGTAAAAATCAGCTGCTGGAATAAACTAGTAATTTTAGCCACATCATAGAAAAAATAAGTCAACCCATTAACTTATTTCTATATATTTCCAATGAGCAATTAATGATAAAAATCAAATCCATGTAAAATACTAATAAAAATAAAATATGTATATATGATTTTAACAAATTACATGCAAGATCTCTCTAAATAGGAAACTAGCAAAAGTGTTGGGAGATGTAGGAAAGTTCTAAATAAATGGAGTCGCATACAATAATTGATGGTTTTGATGTGTGTCCCTGCCCAAATCTGGTATGATGTAATCTCCAATGTTAGAGGTGAGGCCTGATGGGAGGTGATTGGATCATGGGGTGGATTTCTCATGAGTGGTTCAGCATCATCCCTCTTGATACTGTTCTCATAATAGTGAGTGAGTGAGTTCTCATGAGATCTGGTCATTTAAAAGTGTGTAGCAGCTTCCCCTTTCACTCTCTTGCTGTTCTGGCCATGTGACGTGCCTGTCCCCCTTTGCTTTCTGCCATGATTGTGCGTTTCCTGAGTCTTCCCAGAAGCTAAGTAGATGCCAGCATCATCCTTCCTGTATAGCCTGCAGAACAGTGGGGCAATTAAACCTCTTTTCTTCATAAATTGTCGAATCTTCTGTATTTCTCTATAGCAATGCCGGAACAAACTAATACAATAATCATGGCTTGAAAGTTCAGTGAATTTTAGTGTGTAAAAGGTTTTGGTTTTTCCAAATTAATCATTCTAGAAATCCTCACCATAATCACAAAAGATATTTTTATATAAATTGACACACTGATTTAAAAATGTACATCAAGAGAGCAAAAACAAATGATAGAAAGCTGAAAAAAAAGTTGGAATACTCACACTTCCTAACACCATGCAATAACTTAAAGCTATAGTCATCGAGAGAATGTGTTATTAGTAGATGGATAAACAATTAGAGTAATGGAATGGAATAGAGTTCACAAATAGATCCATGCTTATATGAATAATATAATATCAAAGATACTGCAGTTATTCAAAGGGGAAAGATAATTTTATTTAACAAAGTGTGCAGAACTACGAGATAAATGTGAAGAAAACAAACCTCAAGTCCTTCCTCACAACAAAAGCGTGAATGAGTTCAAAATTAAAGGAGTCCAAAATATATTATGGAACAATGTGTAAAAGTGAAAGCATAGGCTTCAAATATAAAGCACAGAAAATGTCTTAGTAAACTACATGAAAGCACTTCTTTTTATCCAAACTGTGGATACATTTCTTTTTATTCAGAAAGCAATAATTATATAATGATAAACTACAGAAATGTGTAAATATATTTATACTTTAATGTTTATTTTTAATTACACAATTATATATACTATTTATTATGAATAAGAGCAAGAATATATAAATATAATGTACAACATAGAAACAAGAGAGCTATAAAAACTAACAGATGCTACACAAAAATGATATAATAGCAAATAAGCAAATGAAAAATTTCTTAATATCGTTAGTAATAAAAAATAAAATGAGATAATTATACACATCTACTAGAAAAGCTACTATTTTAAAAATTGTGTTACCAATATTTGGCATAGATGTCAAGAAACCAGACTCTAGAGTTTGCATACATCGACGGTGGGAGTGTAACACAGTACAGCTACTTTGGATAACTAAATCTACCTTACATGTACCAATTCTACCCCTAGGCATTTATCCTAGGGGGGAGAAAAGCATAAGTCTGTAAAAAGGCTTGCACAAGTACCTTTATTCATTATTGTCAAAAACAGACACCATGCAACTGTCCACCAAGAGCGGCGTTCTCAAGTTCAGCACTATTAGCTGTTGAAGTGGCTTAATTCTTTGTTGTGGGGAGCTATCCTTTGTGGAACCCTGGCCTGTGGACACTCTATCCCCTCCTCCACAAACCTCTGATAACCAAAAGTGTCCCCAAACATTGGAAATGTCCCCGGCAGGTAAAATGTCCCTCATTTGAGAACCTCTGGTCAAGAGTTTAGTAAATAAATTATAGTGGTATGTCTATGAAATGAAATAATACGTAACAATAAAAAAAGGTGCTACTTCAACATGCAAGAAATTGTTGAATCTCAAAAATATTATGCTTAAGGAAAAAAGACAAAAAGAATTCATACTCTATAATTCTACTGATATATAATTGTAGAAAATAAAAGCTAATATATGGTAATAAAACCAGATTAGTACTGGATTGACAATGTGTTGAAAGTCAAAAGAAGAGGCTTGAGATCTCTTTCTAGTGTGATGGTTTTACAAGTATATACGTATGTTAATGTTTAAAAATTTCACACCTCAAAAATGTGCAGTATACCAGATGTTAATTATATCTCATAAAGCTATTAAAATTTTATCTCAAAATTATAGCTTTATTGCATTTAGGGCATTATCCAATTTTGAATCTAGTCCAGTTATCATAGCTTAATGCAGTATTATGAAAATAATGCCTATAAAGGTCCAGTTCCTCAAACACCCTTGGAACCAATTTTGTCATCTATATTAGTTACCTTGGGCTGCTATAATGAAGTACCACAAGCTGTGTGTCTTTAAGCAACAGAAATTTCTTCCCTCACAGTTGCGGAGGTCAGAGGTCAGAAAACAAGGTGTCTGCAGGACCAACCTCTCCTCTGGATGCTCTAGGTGAGAATCTTTTCCATGCCTTTCTCTTAGCTTCTGATGTTGCCGTCAGAACTTCAGATGGTGTTCCTTGGCTTCTGTCAATATTAATACATAAATCCTTTTCAGTCTCAGCTTCTCTCTTCACATGGTCCTCTCCACATCCTATCTGTTTCTGTTCCCTCTTCTTATAAAGACAACCCATGTTATTTTAAGTCCCACCTACAGAGATAATTTTAGCTTGATTACATCTGCAAAAACTTTGTGTCCAAATGAGGTTTCATTTACCTTATGTGTATAACTAGGGGTTAGGGCTTGAACATACGGGTTTGGGGAGGGGAACACAGTTCAGACCATGACACTCATTGTTTCACTCATTAATGAGTTAAGGGTGCTTTGATATTATTACATTTGAATGAGAGTGGTCTTTAAAATTACATTTTGTCGTGTAGTTTGTTCCACCCTGATGCTTAAAGGGAGTCACCTGCCTCAGCCAATTAAACTGTGTTGTCTCTGCAGTGCGTTTTATCACAAGAACATGACCTTTAAGCACAAGAACACCTTGTACTCCACCACTAAAAACAGAAATGACATCTACCTTCACTGCTTCCCTATTTCTCTCCATCTTTACTGACTTGGTATTTTGTTGTTGCTGTCATTTCTGGTTGTTGGTCAATTTTCATTTCTGTTCTTATTTTGCTGATAATTCTTATAAATCAGTGCTGAATTTTGTCAAATTATTTTTCTGCATCTCTACAGATGATCATTTTATGTTTTCGTCCCTGTGATAATTTAGTGAATGTCATTGATCAATTTTTAAATAATGAATATCTTTGCATTTAAGATAATATTTTTCACTATTAATGTTATCTCTGAAATGAAAGCTAAACCTAGTCAATAGATATTAGAGGTGCATGATTTTTAAAATTGTATAAAATTAGATAAAAAATACAAAGAAATATATATAATTTTAAAACTATGTAAAAATGTAAATGCCAAATGATAGAGCACTAAATGAAGCTTGTAATATTAAATACAATCTTTAGAAACTCTTTTGCAGTGCAGGAAAAAAATAGAACTGAAAACAAAGCAGAAGAAATCACAGATATAAAATTAAAGAGGATAGAATTAAGCACCGGAGTTCCCACATCTAAAGTGAAAATCTAAGAATTTAAATATCATTCAAATGCAGACTAAAATACAATATAAAATAAAATTTCCTGAGCTAATTTTTAAAATACTGCTTAATTTGTAGGTAAAAATGCAGACTAATTTTCTGACTATATTACTATAAAAACCTTCTACAAATATTTTTTAACTAAAATTATAAGAAAAACATCCGCCATAAACACGTAAGATTAGTATTTTCGTTTCTGAAGTATAAAATGTCTGGATAGACTTGAGCTTGTTGCTTTAGTTTTATATGTGAAGACTGGAAAAATTCTGTTTTGTTTTGAAAAATATTTTGAGCTAAAAATGTTGTATTCCACATTTGTTAGGAATGGAAGTCTTTAAAATATGAAATATTTCCAATTGAAGAAAAATAGTGAAAATGAACTTTATCTGAATAAGATTAATGAAAATTACATGTTGAAAAAGTAAAATAGTTATGTGTACTAACAGTGACTACTAACCCAACAATATAAAATTAAGTAAAAATATTATTACCATGTTAAATACAAATTAAAATTAATTATAAAAAAGTTAAGATCTATGATTAAAGTATTAAAATAAAATGAGACTGTATTCACAAATCTAAAAGCAAATTGGTGAATGACATATTTTTTGAAATAATAAATTCTTTGGCATATTTTATATTTTTTATTATAAATGAAAATTATTTATTTGAAATATTTAAAGGAACAAAATATTTGCAGCTCTATTTTATTGAGAAAGGAATTACAAAACAAAAACAAGGAGCTTTTGTAATTACAAAAGAATATATTAATAATATTATTTAGAAGCACAAAACCAGAAAAGCTTTATATTATTTCTAACAATAAATGTAAACCATCTAATTTTCTGAAAAGGGGTGGAAATAAATATTTAACAAAGAAGATGTTATTCTTAAATTGTAATATGTACATTGCCTAAAAATAAAAAGGTAGTTGAAGATATATTGTGAACAACAAAAAATGAAGAGCTGATAATATTAATGTGCGAAGGAAACTCATAACATATTGTACTAATTATAAATCAGTGTATTGACAAAACCTGAGTCCTCAATTATTATTGACTGTCATTGACATGTTAATGATAGAATATTAAATATAGAATATAATAAAGCAATTTAGAATAAAAAAGAGAAAGCGATAGACATGAATAGAAACAAAATGCAACTGTTCAATATTAAAAGCCTTTCTAAATTGCTTGTGTTTTTCTAGTGACCTGTTTCGCTATGCAGTGTAGGCTCAGGTGTCTAGATTTTAGTTGCAGATAAACACAGGTAGTGTTTTCCAGATCTCAGAATGACCAGTTACATAAAAATAGGCCATAAACCATATATTTCATTCTTACGGTTGACAAACCTCTAATTCACCTGAAAATATTAAAAAGAAAGAAGACAGACGTGACAGTGGTTGGAAGTTGAGGATAAGAAGAAGTTGGCAGAAATAAGCTTTCTTCTTTTGGACAGCAATGCATGATAAAAAAAATTAAACTAAATTCAGTTCATTTCCACTAACTGGGACTTATTTAGAAACTTTAAGAAAGTCTGAAGAATTTCAATTGAGGAGTAAATAAGGGCCAATTTATTTCATAGTGTGGACTCTCAAGACAATATACAACAGTGCTTCTCAAAGTTAAACAGTGTATGAGTGACCTGGAAATGAAGATGCAGATTTAATAGGGCTGGAGAGAAGTCTGAGATTCTCAATTTCTAATGAATTAAATTACAAAGAGGAGAAAATAAGGTTATTGCTTACTTTATATACATTCACAAACACAGGCTAATCAAATAATTGTTTAAAGTATTGCTCTGATAAGAATTAAATTACATAGTTCATAGGAAACATTTTCTTTACATTCGGATTTTATCTATTATTAGAATAATAATAGAATCTTGACTTTATGTAACTCTATGTTCCAAACAACTAGAAACTTTTCGATAGCAATTGTTCACCATTTAATAACATTTTTCCAAGATACCTAATGCACTCAAGGACAAAATAGCTGCCTTCCAGTGATTTCCAATTTATTCAATTTTCAGGCCATCTGTCTGCCCACACAATGACAGATTATAGTTACATTCTTGCCATGCTCTGAACAGCTAAGCCAATTGTTTTCAATCTTTTTTCTTCAGCAACTCCATCTCTTAAAGTACTTCAGAGTAGTTCCTGAAAGGATTCCTCTTTAGTTAAATGGCTATACAGCTCTCCCATCATCCAAAATAATCAGTGGAGAGATAGCAATATTTTTCATTACATTAGGCCAAGTTCCATTGCTTCCTTCATCTTGTAATCTGATCAGAAACACCACTATAGATTCAATAATTGAGTTTAGAGTTTCAGAGAATTTGGGGTCACAGAACATCTATGTCTATTTTGTAAAGATTATTGCATATTACTGAAATAGCTTGTCAAACACTGCAGTCTGCTTAAAGTATCAAAATAGAAATGTTGAATGCTGTGTCTGCACAGAGTTCATTTAAGCAAAGAATCTACTAGGCTCTTAAGTCTGTTAATGCAAATTCCTGAATACAGCTGACCCTCCATACCCCCATTGTGGGTGGATTTAACTAACCATGAATCAAACATATTTGTTAAAAGAAATACCAAAAATAATTTTTAAAAAGAAATACAACAATAAAACAATGCAAATAAAAAACAATCCTTATAACAATTATGTGCATAGCATTTATATTGTATTCAGTATTATTAATGTAAGTAATCTGGAAATGATAGAAAGTATACAAGAGGGTGTGTGTAAGTTATATGCAAATACTAGGCCATTTTATATAAGAAACTTGAGCATCTCTGGCTTTTGCTATGAAGGGATGATGGTGGTAGGATTGGTGGTGGTCCTGGAACAAATCCCCAGCAGGTACCAAGGGGGACTGTAGACCCCAAAGCTGTTTAGGAATGGGTCACAGCAGCAGGACTGAGGCAGGAATGCTCCCCACAGAAAACATCAACCACCTGTTGATTTTTGAATCTGCTCCTCTCAGGCATGCCTTCAAATGCTATAACCTGGAGATTCAACTCATTTTCATGCTGCTAAGTAGGAATAGGTGATTCAATTCCCCAAGAAAGTGACAGAGGTCCCTGAAATATAGATTTAAAGTTACATAGTGTCAAATGCTAGTCATTTTCTTTTTGCTCGATGGTATCCTCTCAGAAAAACCTTTTATAATATTTCTAATTCATTTACCAGATTTATAGAATCATCAAATTGTCTATCCATGTGTTTTTCAAATATTTTGTGAAGTGTCTAGGGTAACAACCTAGTGTTCGAACGTATTTTGTGAAGTGGCTAGGGTAACAACGTAATGTTCGAACTTATGTTCGTATTTAAATACAAATGTATTTTGGTTGAGTGATTACTCAAGGTCACTGAGGAATCCACAAGGTTAACCTCCTGACTCTAGAACCATTGTTATATAGAGATATATAAATAGCTGATTTAATATTATAGGCTTAGCAAAATATTTAATAAATAAGGTCTTAGTAAAACAACACACATGTATTTATCCACTTATTTAATTTTGTTTTTCCATTTCTTCTGAACATAAGTTCCTGAGGACACGGGCCTTTTTTCACAGTTCATTTTTGGATTCCAACATCTAGCCAGTACTTTGCAAAGAGCACTGAATTTGAAAGAAATTTCTCAGTTAATGATTTGAATCATATAAAATATTTAGTAAATTTGAAAACTAGTAACCGTGTAAAGCGATTAAAACAAACATACTAGAGGGTAATAATCCCCCGCCCCTTGCCTTCTTCCTTTACATCCACTTCATTCCTATTCTTGTCTACTTCCCCTGCCCCACCCAGGGAACGTGGTTAGCCCATCAACTGCAAAGACTGTTCTCATATAATATTGTTCTGATGGATAATGAGACTCTGAAAGTGGAACATAAACAGATAAAACAAAAACAAACAGAAAAGAACCCAAAAACCTAAACTCAACTTCAGTTAAAGCAGAAAATATCTGTCCAGCCTAAACCAGGCATACTCCACAGACTTCTGTTAGACGCCTGATCCTACTTCAGTCTGGAACCACCTAGTCTTCAGGTTTGCCTGGTGCTCACCAGCTGAAGAAATCCTTTAACGACCTTTATTCAGTCAAGTAAATCGTTTTCTTTTGGCAACTTGCATGTTATTTTTTAGGTTTTCATTTATTTATTTTTTTATATTTAAAGTCATATTTTCTTCCTTTTATTCACTTTGCTGGTCTTTCTCACTTTGATTTTTTTTTTTTTTTGCCTTGTTTTGCATTTGTTTACTTTAACATTTTTTGTAACTTATCTCTTTTATTTTGGAAATTATTCACATTATCAGTTTTCTTTTGCTAGGCAATTTTGATATTCTAATAAACATTATTAACATAAAATATAAAGTTTACTAACACCAAGCCCAAACAATACAAAGTCTTAGGGCTCTTTAATTGCAATTATTTAAAAATATTTGCTACAAATTGTTCATTATTTTATATTCATGTTGTTTTTCTTATTCCCACAAATCACATATTGTTGGTGTGTTTGTTAAATAAAATTGTGACTGCTTATATATGTTTTTTCACATCCTTTCTTCTTCTAATATTTTGGAATTTACATCCAGTTAATTATCCTTTATTCTATGGTACATACTGTAAAAGTTACTATTCTTGGTAGTAAACTCTCAGTTTTTGGATTGTCTGAAGATGTCTCTATTTTGATCTGCTCTTGAATTCTAAATCTAATTGACATAAAATTCTAGATTTGCCATTATCATTTATTAGCACTTCAAAGATATTCCACAATTTTCTGACTTTCAATATTTTTGTTGGTAAAAATGGTGATTGTTAATTGGCTTGCATATTCTGTTTTGGATATTCCACTGTTTCCTTATAATTTGTTTATTTATAAGGAAACTTATAAACAAATTATAAGGAAACAATAGAATATCCAAAATAAAGAGAATAGTTATGGGTTCGTATAGATAATTCTTCAGAATCTACTAATTTGTGTCTTTCTTCTTTACTTCTGTAAACTTTTCAGCTACTATATATTAGAATATTTCTTAACTTTTTTATATTCATTCTGAAATTTCTTGCTGAAATTTGTTCAGAAGGTGAGTTAACGGAGCTATACATCTTTAGTGTCATGTGCTCTAAATTGCAAAATACATGTATTTTTATTTCAGACAACTTGAGTAACATTTGTGCAAATGTTTTATATACACGGACTTAATTTGGTAAATTTAGGCATGTGGTAGACAAATTTAAAAATGTATAAAAATCGTGGGCAAGCATATGAACATTCTATTTTTGCTACTATAAAAAAATAGCAGACTATCCAACTATTTTATGATACTCAACGATACATCTTACTAAATGGTCACGACTCTTGCCTCTCAGGGTCAGAGTTTGCAATAGTGAAAGCAAGAGAAAGCCACGGAAAAAAAAACAGGGAGAGGGAAAATATTAAGCTCTAGAATATGTACATTGTTTTGCTTGTATAAATTTAGAACATTCAACACATGTTTACAATGAATACATATAAAATACCAATGACATGAGGAGAATTAGAATAGAAATAAATACAAGGATTCTTTCATGATAACTAAAAATATCAGTGAAGGTTTGTACATAAAATTTAGGGATTTTATATTATTACCTAATACAATTCTGGCTATAACATCACTAAAGGATTGTAAACGTCTGCTGGGAAACCTATGGGAAAAAAATGCAAGTGGAACTGGTGTCATACAAACACATTTTCTAATGGGAAGCTTAACTGGTGAAATGTAAGTTGGAAACATTACTCAATTTAGGTCTATGAAAATGTTTTCCCAAATACAATCTTTTCTTGTTTGATAGGAGGTTTTACTGTGATGTATTATTTCTGACAGCCTCTTTTTTTTTTTTTTAAAGGAAACGAGTAGAATTAAGTGAATTGATTATCATATCTAACCTGTAAGTACAAATTACTTTCCCTTGGAATTACATAATTGATAATTGTACATCCTCAGATGTGTTTGAATCTGAGATTTACTCTAAACTCAGAGAAAAAAAAGTGAAATTTTGTTTCCATTGTGGCACCTTTGTTTCCTTTTTAAGTTTTCAAAATTTCTTAAAAATTATTTTTCCCTTTCATAATTTATTCAACAAGTATCTATTGTTAGGTGTTGGGAACACAAGACCTAAAACTCCTGACAAATATATTCTATTTATGAGGTCAATTTGTACATTAATAAATGCATATATAATACCAGACAAGATTGTAATGCTAACCAGTTTGACTTTGAGGCACGGTATTCAGAATGTAAATGCCCCTGGAAAAAACATTGAATATAAATGCCCCTGGAGAAAGAATGTAGTTGGAAAAAACATTCTGAGGTAAAATTATGCAATATTGGTATGACTAATTAGAGTGACCAGAGGTTCACACATTTTTGTGACATGCCATTGGTAGAAAAAGAGCCATAGCTGAAAAAATATGGCAGTCATAAGATGTCAGTGGAAATGAAGACAAGGATACCTTTTGGTCAATTTTCTTGAAAATATTGGCTTTTTCAACAGTGTAGTTTATTTAAAATTTAGTCCCAGTTCTTAGCAATTATTTATATACTGATGGACTTATATCCAGGGTCTTCTTGAATTAAAAAAAGTCAAAAAATAATTTTATAAATTTAAAATATTATAAAATTATGATATATACAATTCTTGCTCTCTCTGTCATATTTTTCCAATTTTTTGTCTGTCTTGTTTTTTCTTGCCTTTTCTTCCCTGTCCTTTCCCTTTCGTTTCTTTTCTTTTTGTTTCCTTTGTCTGGCCTTGCTTTGAGTTTCTTTTCCAAACGAATTCACTGGAGGTGGTATTTTTATGCATAATATACACAGCAAATGTCTAGGGCCTCTCATTTTTTACAAATCTTTGTAAGAAAAGGCTATCTATTAACCCAATGACATTGTCATAACCTTTTCTAAATTTCAATGATATTCAGTTTCTCGCAGCTATTACATTACAAAGTATACCTCAGTAAAAATCTAGTAAGTCATAGGGCTGATGTTGCTGATTGCTCACTTGCTCAAGCCAGAAGCTTAGAATACATGCTTGATTCTTCACTTTCCTGTGGGTTTATGCCAAATCAATTTCAAATCTATAGATCTTATCCTCTAAATAACATACAGCATGCCTACTTTTTTCTCTCTCTCGACTACTGTCACATTAATTCAAAAGAAAAAGACTGATGATTCCTAACTTCCTGGCTTCAGTAATTGGCAACGATGACATCACTACTAAGGCTTCACTTCTCACCTCTGCTTCCATATGAGTGTAATGTTATTTTCTCCTATGACAGATAAGTTTATTTTTCACCATTAAAAGGTAAGAAACTCACGCATAACCAAAGTTGGAGGAGACAGTTATTTTTTTTCCCCAGCTTGCCTGTTAAAACCATAAGGAATGATTAATCTGCCATGGTGCTTGATGTGGCCCAGGGATGTGCTCAGACTCAGTCATGTAGGGGCAGGTGGTATTAACATTAGTTCAAACATGGAACCATGGCATGTGTTAGAAATAATGGCTTATATTAGAAACCGGACATAAAATTGTCGTGAGCAAGAAAGTTACCTCAATTTGAGTCTACTAGAAGTTTCAGAGTGCCATTTCACATGGCCACAAAGTTCAAAAGTTCCAAAAGAAGCAAAAGTTTGACCAAGAAATCAGTGATTTTTTAAAAAAGAGAAATTGAGCTCAATCATGTTTTTTATATCTTCTACTGTACTAAAAGTTTTTTTCTCAATAATTGACTAAAAGTTCATTAACTACTGCACAGACTTCAATATTTAGAAATGTAATACGGGCTTGCTAACTAAAAGTGAAGTTATTTTATTGTCGGAACTAGCTATTGTTAGAAAGACTCATTTGCTTTTTATAATACAATTTTACATATGATTTATAGATTTACAGATTATAACAATTTATAGATTATTACCTCATTAATTTATTGAATAACCTGACTAAATTACTTAGTCACTGAATTAAATACAACCCAGCCTTAATACTTTGGGTCAAGGAACATTGACCAAATATGTATTTATGCCACAGATTCCTTGAAATTTCTTACCAAAGTAAATTGTTTCATGAAAAATACAGAAATAAATTGGTAACTAAATAAAACATGTTCTATATTTCAACTTGAAAAATTAAAGAAATTAATAATTCTTAAAATCAAAGCAATGATCATTTGTTTCCTAATTATTATTATTGTGAATGTACTTAAAATTTTTGCTATGCTTTTAAGAAAGATGTACTTCTATTAAAAATTATTAAAATAAACAGCAGAGAGACTGACTTTTCAAAATAGTTTATCTGGGAAGAGCAATGAACTGCAATTTGGGATATGTGTACCGTACTGAACCATAGGCACATTTGAAAAAGCTGGGGGAGCCGAAGCTTTTTTAAGGGTAAAAGGTGAAGTTCCCCATCAAACTACCGTTGGCATTCTTCACAGAATTAGAAAAACCTATTTGAAATTTCATATGGAATCAAAGAAGACCCCATATAGCCAAGACAATCCTAAGCATAAAGAACAAAACTGGAGGCATCACACTACCTGACTTCATTACTGCAGGGCCTCAGTAACCAAAACAGCATGGAACTGGTACCAAAACAGACATATAGACCAATGAAGGTGAACATAGACCTCAGAAATACACCACACGTCTACAACCACCTGATCTTCAACAAACCTGACAAAAACAAGCAATGGGAAAGGATCTCATATTCAGTAATAATGTGGGAAATCTGGCTAGCCATATGCAGGAAACTGAAACTGGACCCCTTCCTTACACCTTATACAAAAATTAACTCAAGATGGATTAAAGACTTAAATGTAAAACCCCAAACCGTAAAAACCCTAGAAGAAAACCTAGGCAACAACATTCAGGACATAGGCAGGGTGGGCAAAGACTTCATGACAAAAATGCCAAAAGCAATTGCAACAAAAGCCAAAATTGACAATGGGATCTAATTAAACTAAAGAGCTTCTGCACAGCAAAAAAAAAAAAAAACTATCATCAAAGTGAACAAGCAACCTACAGACTGGGAAAAAATTTTTGCAATCTACCCATCTGACAATGATCGAATATCCAGAATTTACAAGGGACTTAAACATGCTTACAAGAAAAAGACAAACAACGCTATCAAAAAGTGGGCAAAGGATATGAACAGACACGTCTCAAAAAAAGACATTTACGTGGCCAAAAAACATACAAAAGAAGCTCAACATCACTGATCACCAGAGAAATGCAAATCAAAACCACAATGAGATGCCATTTCACGCCAATTAGAATGGAGATTATTAAAAAGTCAGGAAACAATAAATACTGGAGAGGATGTGGAGAAATGGGAATGCTCTTACACTGTTGGTGGGAAAGTGAATTAATTCAACCATTGTGGAAGACAGTATGGGCATTCCTCAAGGATCTAGAACTAGAAATACCTTTTGACCCAGCAATCCCATTACTAGGTATATACCCAAAGGAATATAAATCATTCTACTGTAAGGGAACATACGTGTATATATTTATTGCAGCACTATTTACAATAGCAAAGACATGGACCCAACCCAAATGCCCATCACTGTTAGACTGGATAAAGAAAATGTGGTACACATACACCATGGAATACTATGCAGCTATAAAAAAGGAATGAGAGCATGTCCTTTGCAGAAACATGGATGAAACTGGAAGCCATCATCCTCAGCAAACTAACACAGGAACAGAAAACCAAATACCGCATGTTCTTATTCGTAAGTGGGATTCGAACATTGAGAACAAATGGACACAGAGAAGGAAACAACACACGCTGGGGCCTGTTGGAGGTTGCGGGGTGAGGGGAGGGAACTTAGATGATAGGTTGAAAAGTGTAGCAAACCACCATGGCATACGTATACCTATGTAACAAACCTGCACGTTCTGCACATATATCACTTTTGTTTGTTTTTTGAAGAAGAAGAAGAAATAAAGAAAAAAAAAGGTGAAGTTCATGTAAATTATTTTAAAATAAACCTCTTTGGCCCCAGAAGCTTATTGCTTGGTATGGACAAATACTCATCGGTGATACTGGCTATTGCTGGGAAGATGTCTTCATAGAAGCGTCGTATCTAAAATTTTTGTAGTTTTCAGGGAGTCCTTGCAATAGTTCTTTTAGAGACATCCATGCATGAAGGGCCTTCTTTTATACTCTCCCAGCTCCATTTTGTTGTGGTTTGACTTCAGTGAGTCAACTTCTTTGCTTGTAACTTTAACATTTCCCCCCTTTGACCAAGAATTTTTTCTGAAAGCATTGCTGATTAATCAGCCTATAGTTAGGTTTTGATTGTTTCTTGGTGCTGGAGTGGACCTTTCCTAGTTAGTCTGATCCTGCATCAGAGGTGAATGGCCAGCAACTAAGAGCAGATGTCAAAACCCTTTTAGTCACATTTAAGAAACAAAGAGGTTCAGAAGGAGTGGCTCTCAGGATAAATCTGCCTGGAGTTCATTGCTAAGTTCAATTTTGTCAGTTCCATAGGCATTGACTACCATTTGGAAGTTCTGGACCAGTGTTATTCTGTTAGATGCATCATTTCTGCAGAGGTTGGACAGGAAACAGATAAAAAGTTTAAAAAGAATGATGCGGTACAAAATTAATAGTAACATGAAATATTGTCTATGAACATGGACCCAAAGGCAGCCAACTAATGAATCAAAAGTCTATGTGAGACTGAGTGAGATCTGTTGTAGCCATAAAGCCTGTCTTGCTATTTTATGCAATTAGGTCTTGACTTCCCCAGAGAAATATATTCAGGTACAGCATGTAGTTATTAGCAATGGCACAGACATTCTTGTTCAACCAGTAGATAATTGAGAGTTATCTCATCCTGTCCTGTTGTGTTATCTACGGCTACTCAGCAAGATACTTTAATGAGCACTGCTGGGCAGCAATAGCCTTTGCAGTGAAGCCTGCAACGAAACCCAAGGTGGCAAATAAATTAGGGATGTTGCCATAGTTACCCACTGGGTGGACTAAAGGATCCCTTAGGTCATGTAAAGATGTGGGTTTGACACGACAGATCCAAAACTTCATTCAGTTACGGAAGCTACTGAATGTGAAATTCTAACCACAGCGTTATTCTGCCAAGTGAAAAATGTAGGCATAAGCAAGAAAAAAAAAAAAATAAGAAGGATAAGAGTCCAGTTTTGTTACAATGTCTTGGGAAAAGCTTTCCACACTGTGATGTCATCAACTTCTTACTCTGGTTTGTAGTTTGAATGTTCCTGGGTATAGCATGGGGCATTTTAGTCAATTCTCTTTGTAGCCCACACAATAGCCATGAGATTTCTCTCTTGAAATTTACATGGAGTTTTCTGGCTCCAACTTATAGGACTTTAGGAACAAGGCAGTTTATGTTCTTAGTTGGAGAATCGTAGCCAGACGTTGGAGGAAATTAGAATAATTAAGTGCCCTGTCTAATTTAGAGATAGATGACAAAAACTTGAAAACAACAAAGAAAACTACAATCTACTAACAGGTGTACTGCAGTTTTTCTTCAGAAACATAATTTTTCTCTGTACAATCATCCCTATTTCTACTAAAGATAATCAGAGTAAGACTAATTTGTCTGCTGAATAAGTTTAGTCTCATTAAACTTGGCATGATTATTGACAACAGTATAGCAAGAAAAGGGATGAAACATGGGCTGTTTTTAAGTTTATTTTGACGGAACTTTTGATAAGAAATCTCAGATTAGACTTTTAAAAGCCTTTCAAGGGTCAGAAGTCAAAGGAGGGCGAACATCAGACTTTGGCTGCAGTATCTAAAAATCTGCATGAATTTCTCTCTTCTTGAGGTCTCCAATATATCTGGAGGTTCCTGGCCTGTCAAGAGGTAAAAATGTTTATTCACTCACTGTGAGCTTGGGAATCCTTGAAGCTAGGCATCCTGTGCATAGTCTCAAATATCACATTCAAGTCAAACCATTTATAATATAACCAATGTTTGTAATTCTATCCTGTTACAAAGAGAATAGATTTTTATTGAATTAATGCAAATAACTATGTTGCCATAAAATAAAAATATCAATAAGAGCTCTCTGAAGACTGCAGCCGCAGGTAGGAAGAAAAAATAAATATTTCCATTTTTATTTATAAAAGTATACTTTACCAAATTGCTGTATGCTATAGATAGCTTTTTAAAAGTTTTCTCAAATCTGGAAAACAAAAAATTTAAAAAAAACAGCAAAATGTTAAACAAAAAGTCACTCGAAAATATTGCCATCAGTTTGTTTAGTCCCATTCATTAAACTTATTCTACTTGATCTGGGTTAGATGTTTTAAGAAGCCATCGTTTCTTCATTAGAGTCCTGGAAATTCTTTCCCAGTCCAGTGGTATAATCTTAAACTCATAAGAAATCTAAATTCCAGCATACTTGTTAGAGTCCTTTTCATGAACCTCCTTGAAGAGGAAGTATTTTTCTTTATTCATTTTAATTTATTCTCTACAATACTTCATTAGGGAGTTCAATGATTTGCACTCAGAAGTTAAATAGCCAAGAGGCAAGCAAGTATAATAAACTTCAGAATTGGACTGAGGTTGTTGCACTGAAGGCCATGTAGTCTTTTGCTTCAGGGAAATAACAACAAAAATAACCAAAATGAACACATAGCTCCCTAGGCTTCTGAATCTCAATAGAGAATAACATCAACATTTAATGAAATTGTAGATATTAACACATCATGGGAAAAAAGATACTGTGCAAAATATTATAATTAACACTTGGCACTTCTTATGTCTAGATTTTTATTATAAACAATAAAATATATGTAATATCTTAACTACAGACCTTTCATGTTGAAAGGGCATCTAACATAACTTGTTTTAACATTATGAAGGGAAAAAGTTTAGAAATTTCAAAGTGGAAACAATCCAACACTAACAAACTATAGTGATCAAAAGTATTAACTTTTAAAGAAAAACAAGGACAATTCATAAAAGTAGAACTACCATTTGATCCAGCAATCTTACTGGTTATCTACCCAGAGGAAAAGAAGTCATTACACAAAAAAGATACTTGCACATGCACGTTTATAACAGCACAATTAGCAATTGCAAAAATGTGGAACCAGCCTAAATGCCCGTGAATCAATGAGTGAATAAACTGTGGTATATATTTATGTGTGTGTGTGTGTGTGTGTGTGTGTGTGTGTGTATGTATATGTATATATATATGCATATGTATATATATATATGCATATGTATATATATATATATGCATAAATACATATATGTGATGGAATACTACTCAGCCATAAAAAGGAATGAATTAATGGCATTCATAATAACCTGGATGGGATTGGAGACTATTATTCTAAGTGAAGTATCTCAGGAATGGAAAACCAAACATTGCATGTTCTCACTCTTAAGTGGGAGCTAAGCTATGAAGATGCAAAGGCATAAGAATGATACAGTGGACTTTGGGGACTCAAGGGAAAGAGTGGGAAAGGCATGAGGGGTAAAAGACTACAAATTGAGTTCAGTGTATACTGCTCGGGTGATGTGTGCACCAAAATCTCACAAATCACCACTAAAGAACTTACTCATGTAACCAAATACCTCATGTTCTCCAAAAACCTATGGAAATAAAAAATTTAAAAAATTACAGAAAGGGAATGTATTATGAGACAAGCCACGTTTATAGACCAAAGCATGCTCATAGCTAGGGATGAAACAAACCACAAACCAAGCCAGCAAAGTTGGGTTGATTCCTTGAAAAGAATGGTTACCTATTGTCCAGATTGAGTAGCCCAAAGACAGAGGAAACACTGAGCGTAAAACATTCCCTTTTTTTTAATTAGCCGGGCGTAGTGGCGGGCGCCTGTAGTCCCAGCTACTTGGGAGGCTGAGGCAGGAGAATGGCGTGAACCCGGGAGGCGGAGCTTGCAGTGAGCCGAGATCCCGCCACTGCACTCCAGCCTGGGCGACAGAGCGAGACTCCGTCTCAAAAAAAAAAAAAAAAACAAAACATTCCCTTTTTTTTAAACCTACCACTCACACCACATGCACTGATCACTCTCATCACTGCTTTGGTAAAGCATGTAGGATGCAGTTCAGTTTCAATTTGGAGCTGTTACCTCCCCAGGCAAAGCTGCCACACAGATGATCCAGGCTTGGTGTTTTTCCCGAGAGCCACCTGCCACACATTTTCATAAGGTGACCATGACTATGCACATCCAGGCTACTTCCTGACTAGGCCCTGTTCAGGAAGCATCCTGAGGTGTCCATTCCTCGTGGAGCCAAATAGTTCCCTTGGTTGACTCCTGAGTCCCCTTGGCAAGCCAAGCAGAATTCAAGCATTTCTACTGCTAGCCTTGTGTGGGAGCATGAGCGAATGTAAAGGGAGCAAGGCTCTTCACTCCATAAACCACAGCCTACTTCGGGGTGGTGCTGGACCAGCCCTATTCTTGGGTACTGAATTTCTTTTTCTCATTTGTTGGGATTTTAAATTTTCTATTTATTTTCTTAAATGGCAGGTATCCTACTGCATCTTCAATAAAATAAAATATATACATATATATGTTGTACACTGGAGAAAACAAATAGGGGAACAGTTTGATAGTTTAGCCCCATTTTTTGCTTTTATTTAACCTTTAGAAGTAAAACACAATTATTAAAACAGAATGCTTGAGCAGTAATAAGCGTAGCCCTATGTATCAATATTATTGTACAAATTGGATGTGGGTGCTTAACCCAGAGCTGACCACCCTGATAATAATCCAGAAAAAAACCATTGTTACATCTGTTTGTAACAAGACATTTATTATTCTCAGCACCAGGACATCATAAAATGACTCCTTGATCTTCATTTACTTCACCAAGGGAAACGTGGCAGGCTACAGAAACTCAGCACAGCAGTTAGTGGGGCTGTGCCCTGGGTGCCCTGATGTCACCCACATTTCCCTTGCACGTCTCAGGTCCTAATAAGCAGTGCAGGACAATGTTGAGCCAACCTACTCACCCGTGCCCATTCCTTCCCAGAAACTTAAAGGTGATCCCTATAATAGCACATATGTCCTTTCCCAAATTGTGTCTTTGCTCCCCTAACCCCATTCTTGGCAGAAGAAAAAACAAAACATCTCTTGACTTGAATATTTGCTTATTTTAGAAACCGACACAATCACCATAAACTTAAAAAAAAAAATAAATCAAAATGTTGTTTTCACTGGGTTGACACCTATCTGCTTCAAGAATTCTCTAAGCATGTTGTTGAAAACCAGTGTAACATCTTTAGGATCTTTCTCCCAACTGACCAGTCTTCCTGTGAATCATTTCAGCAGTTCCTTTGTGGCAATGTTTACAAAGCATCTTCTAAGTCCTCTAATTCTATGAGCTTTGCTATCAAAATAGTGAAGAATAGGAAAGGGGGAGGAAAAAACTAGCTGACAGCTGTTTGGAAATCAGCAACAATGTGAAAGAGAAATGTATCTCATGAAAGTTTGAAAGACATGGAATAAATGAGCTCCTTGGAAATTTGCCCTGGCGGAGTGAAGATTCCCACTTTATCTTCTTAGGCAAGATAAAGATCCACCTTATGTAATTACACAGCTTTGTTTAAGCATCCTGTAAAAGACTGAAAAATCAACTGTCTTCCTAACTCTACAGGCAAACTAGAAAAAGGATCTCCCTGCTTACTGGTCCCTCAGGATGTTTTCCTGAAAAGAAAACCAGCTTAGAGATACTGGATTTTCTTCTATGACAAAGTGTCCTCTTAAAGTCCAACCGAAACTTGTTTGCACACTTACACTTCTGAAAGCCTAGGTCCGACTATAGGGCTGATACCGGGAGAGAAGTGAAGTAGCTGGGTGGTGAGGAAGTGGTCTCTCCTTTCACATCTCTGTGCAGTCATGATATCAAGACCCCTTGTGGACATCTCTATTCCATTCCTCAGTCAGTGACACCACAGAGCTCTGTTTGATACCGGGAGACTTAATGCAGTAAAAGTGACAGAAAGTGCAACTGATAGTAGGATGAAAATTATAATCTTCAAGGATTAGTGAGCCATGAGATCTGCAATGCTATCGTAGGGTTTCTGATCCTGATGTGGGTCTCTGTCCAGGATCCTTGAAGAAATTATGGCACCCACATCCAACCCTAACATAGCTTCCACTTATGAAACAAGGAGGTTGTAATCAACTCTTGGTATGTAATAAACTGGAAGTTCAAAAATGTAATTTAAAACAATCTAAAAGAATGTAGTGTTGGTCTCCATTGCACAGACTGCTAGGGGAATATATCAACTTGATTTGGGGAGGCTGTAGAGGTATATAGAGGAGTATATGGGTTAAACCTTAATGGGTCATCAGTTTCAGAGAAGAAGCAATTTTTTATTGTAGCTGATGGCAAATGCTTTTCGAAAAGAATGAAAGCAGTCGGTCCCTGTGGATGACAGACTTAGAGTGGCCATGGTTAAAAATCTCATGGAGTTTATTATAATAATAATGTAATTGACAAAGAAATTTGTTTATTTCTGTGGCATACAAAACTTGAAGATAATAACCAAGATTATGACCGATAACATATCAGATTTTGAAGAATTCAATATAATTTTGTAACACATATCAATAACATTCTGAAATACAACTTAAAGAAGGTTTAGCACCACTTAGTATTTGACAATACTCCCTATATAATTTAATATATCAAGTAAGTCTCATTAGTTTAATATATCTCTTTACAATGTGAGATACACATTCTTTGATCTTTCCAGGGGTCCAAATGAGAAATATCAAAATTAACTTGAGGGCAAAAAGAGTTAATTTAAAATATTATTTTGGGAAGTTTGTCAAAAACATCAAACAGTTTAAAACACTTTATCAGAGTATGATAACAGGTAACCAAAATGAAAATTAAAAGATTTCAAAAAATAAATGTAGAAATTTACATAATTGTCAACAAAAACATAGCTTTTTAATACTGAGAACATTTACTTTTCTCTTTTTTTAACTTTTATTTTAGGTTCAGGGGTACACATGTGGGTTACTTACGCATTTATATGGGTAAATTGTGTGTCACGGGGTTTGGTGTGTAGATTATTTCATAACCCAGATAATAAGCATAGTACCCAGTAGGTAATTTTTAAATTTTCATCCTCCTTCCTCCCTCCACTCTAAAGTAGGCCCAGTGTCTGTTGTTCCATTTGTGTCCATATGTACTCAATGTTTAGCTCCCCTTATAAGTGAGAACATATGGTATTGGGTTTTCTAGGATAATGGCCTCCAGCTCCACTCATGTTGCTGGAAAAGAGATGATCTCATTCTTTTTATGGCTGCATAGTATTCCATGTTGTATATCTACCACATTTCTTCATCCAGTCTACCACTGATGGGCATTTAGGTTGATTCCATGTCTTTGCTATTGTGAAAAGTGCTGCAATGAACATACACGTGCATGTGTCTTTATGGTAGAATGATTTGTATTTCTTTTGGTATATACTCAATAGTAGGATTGATGAGTTGAATGGCACTTCTGCTTTGAGTTCTTTGAGAAATGGCCACACTGCTTTCCACAATGGCTGAACTACCTTACATTCCCACCATCACTGTATAATCATTCCCTTTTCTCCACAACCTCACTAGCATCTCTTATTTTTTGAGTTTTTAATAATAGCCATTCTCATTGGTGTGAGATGGTATCTCATTGTGGTTTTGATTTGCATTTCTCTAATGATTAGTGATGTTGAGCATTTTGTCATATGCTTTCTGGCCACATGTATGCCCTCCTTTGAAAGTGTCCGTTCATGTACTTTGTGTACGTTTAAATGGGATTGTTTGTTTTTCACTTGTTGATTTTTTTAAGTTCACCAGATGCACTGTGCTGGGGTTCTGTGATAGTCCCTAATTGCTGTGCACCCTCCCAAGCCTGAGAGCAGCAGGAGGGAGGGTTGCGAGACAGCAAAAAGGTGGACTGCCTCTCTCTTTGGGAGCTGCATGCCGGAGAAGTGTAGAGCTGCTCCCAGCTGGAGAACTCAGGAGGACTAGGGTGGCCTCACTAGCATCCCAGGCTAGTGGGCCTTATCCTACAAGGTTCAGTGGTGGTGAGGTCTGCAGTCTATCACTGCTCAGCCCCATGGACTTGGCCCCTTTTCTGGGGAGCGTGCAAGAAAACTTGGCCTTCCCAATTGCTGGAGCTGCAGCCCCTGGTTTTGGGGTACCCAGGGAACAAATGCTACTGGGACTCCACACCTACCTAAGAAGCAGCTCTACCCAGACTCCACATGGCTCTCTGTTTTGGTCTGGAGACCCCAGCTGGGGTATCTCCTGAGCCCAGGGATTCAAAGGTTCGTGGCAGAAATATGCATCCCACGGGACTCTCACTCACTCACCATTTTCTTGTAGGGGGATTCCCCTGGGTCTGTGCCACTCCTGGGTGAATGGTTGATCTGTCTCACTCTTCTCCGTGATCCGAAGGTCACACTATGTCACTGATGAATCCTTATGTGTCCACCTGGATGTTCCGGTTGAAGAGCTAGTGTCTCACCACTCTTTCTGCTATTTGTGAGAGTGGCACACACTAGCTGCTTCTAGTCAACCATCTTGGCCCCACCTCACTCACTTTTCTCAAGTAATCAAAGACCTAGTAAAAGAGAGCATAAAGCATAAGAAATTACCTTGATAAACAAAAAATCTTGGTTTATTAGGCCAGTTATCTAAAAGGTAGAGAAAACATTTCACTATTTTCTATTAAGAGCAGGTCAATACTCAAAGAAAAGCTTGTTGTTTCAGCACAGGGGACAAATTTCAAGTTTTCCATTCCTGTACTTTTGATAATAATGCTCAAGTTTTCAGAATATTTATAAATAATTTCCTTTTAACTTTAGCCAACTTGGTCACACATAAAATTCTTTTCACAAGATTAATCTTCCACAAACTTTCTATAAATTTGTCATCCAGTTATCTTATTCAGTTTTTGTCTATATTTTTTCTCTTTTTCTTTTTGGAACAGTAAGACATTCTACTTTTAGACAAAAAATACTCTCTTTTTCCCTTAACAAAAACACAACCTCTTACTTATAACTTTCTGTATGTGTTTTCCTTCCCTCACGTACAGATTTGTTTCCCTTCATTATTTCTAGTTTAAATTACTCTAATATTAATTTTAATTAACTCTTAGTAACCTTAATTTCTAGTGAAAATTAGTAAGCATTTTGAAGTGCATCATGTTAGTATTTTGCAGATGAACACCATCTCATAAAATAATTTTTATGCCTTTAATTAACAGGCCCAAATATGTTTAGCTTTTCCATAACATGTGAAACCAAGATGCCAAATTACGTATATTTTAAACTTCTGTTAAGCAATTGATATTTCAGTATTTTCCTTAGAAATGACTCAAATATTAAATCAGTAAAGTGTTACTTAATTTAATATAACATGATTTTAAGATTTCAAGTCACACTAAATTATTTTTGAAATTCTGACAACTTTATTATCAACCTTTTGTCAATGTATATTCACCTAATTCACTTGTTCTTAACAATTGTGCTTCAGTTCCTCCTTAAACACAACGATGAGTGGATTTATAGCTTTAAGACATTCATTATACATCTCAGTAATAGCAAGCTTGTTTCACCAGTAACTTTAGGTTTAAAAACTGTATCTGTACATTGTAATTAATGCTGACAATTCTGAAAATATTTGTTTTTATTTTGCCAACAAATTTTAAAACTAGCTTTGTCTGCCAAAGATTATTTCATCACATAAGCCAAAAGGCAATTGAGTTTCTGTTTTTCTGAGAGAATTCTTAGTTTAAACACTTATGTTTTCTCTGTAAGCCAATTAAGTAGAGCCGTTTATGAATTTTGGTAGAAAAAATTGTACATACGCACACACACACACACACACGTAGAAAAATACAGACAGAGGAAGAACTTACAACTTGCATTAAGAATTGTTATTTGCCTGGCTTGCAAGTAGTTTTACTCCCTCTTTCAGACTATCTGTCTTTTAATGATCTGTTCAATTGGCCCATAAACAAGTGTTAGTTAGGCCACCCAAAATTTGTACTTCCAAAGAGATGATTTTTAGGTGAAGGAATGTAGAAAATTTAAATCTCAAAGGTACAGAACTTAAACACCACTATTTGTTGAGATGAAAAAAAGCATATATAGGAAGCCTTCAAAATGAAATGGTCAAGGGTGAGTTTACACAGATAGATAGATTTAGGTCTCTTCCTTTTGCTTTGTGAAAGCATCTAGTGTTTTAGGTGTCAGAGAGGGAGATATCCTTACAAAGCAGAGATTATCATTACAGGTTTACATTTCTTACAAAGAGTTTCAAAATAAACAGGTAAATGCCAAAAACATATATTTTGGTGACGGATTAATTCACTAGTTGGTCTATTCAACTTAACTTGTTTCCTAATGAGATTAAATTCATGCACAAATAACCAAACCAAAAATTAAACCAAAAGAATACTCACCAGAAAGGATGTCCTTTACAAGAGCAGATCCCCCAAAATGTAAGAGTTCACTGAAAAGGTGGGAGCTCAAACCAAGAGAGGACTTATCTCGCAGCATAAAGACAACTTGTACAAGTGAAGATCACAATAGGCTCAGGTGAGTATCATACACAATTTCAAGTATCGCCAGATACTTGAAAGCCTTCCAAAGGCTTTCTTTGTTACTGTTTGGATAACAGTGCTGTAACTGTAAGTAACAAAGAAGGCTTGGAGCCTTTGCATCTTGCTTCTGACATTAGATTATGTCAACTTAAACAACAGAGATACTGACTCTCTAAAATAAAGAGTGGAGTGTATTCAGGAAATAGCAGTAAATTGCAATTTGAAATACACATGCTATGGTGGACCTTAGGCACCAAAGAAGCTGAGGGACTGTATTAGTTTGTTCTAGCACAAAGAACTACCTGAGACTTGGTAATTTATAAAGAAAAGAGGTTTAATTGACTCATGATTTCATAGGCTGTACAGGAAACATGATTGGAGGAGGCCTCAGGAAACTTACAATGATGGCAGAAGGCAAAAAGGAAGGAGGCACGTCTTACATGGCCGAAGCAGGGGGAAGAGGGCAAAGGGGAAATACCACACACTTTTCAACAAGCAGGTCTCATGAGAACTCACTATCACAAGAACAGCAAGGAGGAAATCCACCCCCATGATCCAATCGCCTCTCACCAAGCCCCTCCTCCAACATTGGGGATTACAATTCGACATGAGATTTGGGTGGGGACACAAATCTAAACCATATCAGGAAGGCAAAAATCTTAAAAGAGAAATTTTATGTAAGTTTTGTAATAAACCTCATGGGCCAGAGAAGCTTGTTACAAGAGTTGGCAAATACTCATTGATAATATTGGCTGTTGCTGGAGAGATGTCTTCATAGAATTATCATATCTAACATTTTTGTGGTTTTTGAGAGAACCATTGCAGCAGTTCTTATTATAGACATATGTACATGAAGGCCCCTCTTTCATGGCCTCCCAGCTTCATTTTTTTATGGTTTGATGTAAGTGACTCCATTTTGGTGCTCACAACTTCCACATTTCTCCCTTTTGGTTGAAATATTTTTCTGAAAGCATTTCACACTTAAAAGATATAGATTGGCCGGGCATGCTGGTTCATACCCGTAATCCCAGCACGTTAGGAGGCGGAGGTGGGTGGATCACCTGAGGTTGGGAGTTCGAGACCAGCCTGACAAACATGGAGAAACCCCATTTCTACCAAAAATACAAAATTAGCTGGGCGTGGTGGCACGTGCCTGTAATCCCAGCTACTCAGGAGGCTGAGGCAGGAGAATCACTTGAATCCAAGAGGCAGAGGTTGCAGTGAGCTGAGATCACGCCATTGCACTCCAGCTTGGGCAACAAGAACGAAACTCCATCTCAAAAAACAAAAACAAAAACAAACCAACAAAAAATGAAATAATTGTAAAAACCAACCATAGTTCTCAGTAATGATAGTTTCATTTCCGTCAGCTATTAGTAGAGTTAATTAACTCCTATCAACCTCACATTTTCCATTTAAAAAATACAGGAGAAAAAGTTTGATGTGGGTTTAATGAGAAAATTTATATAAAATAGATCTAACTACTATATTTATCACAAAACAGATGCACAAACTATGTTTTTTTCCTCTCACTTGTTCTTATTTTATATATCATTTTAATTGAGGAAATCATTGAGCATAATGTAACAAATATTTTCATAAGTTATTATAAAGAGGGTTTGAAGGACTTGTTAGAAAGTGTCTGGCAGTGGAAAAAACATCTGAATAGAAAATGAAAATAGCATGTGAATGCTGAAATAGCGTATTAAATAGCTGCAACTCTAATATAATTTACATTTGGATTTTAGTATAGACAGAATACTTAAATTTATTTCTGCAGTCTTTTCAGTTGTTAAACATTTTATTGAACTCTTCATGTGCCTTTCAGATGTATTGTGCTTCAAGTGTGCTTGTACCAGCTTTTTCTGTTTAGAAATGCTTGAGTGTCTCCATTGTCAAAACGATCAGAAGGCAGTAATTGTATTTCCAATGTGAGGACAAACAATACTAGATATCCTGCGATCCTACATTGTAAAAAATATTCCCATCAAATGCCCCAATGGATAGCCACGTAAGTGATCATCTGTAATTATTTAGTCAAGAAATGAATATTTTACATGTAAATACTTTGAATGGCTTAATACAAACTAAATTTTTCAGAATGCAACCACTACGGAAATTGAAGAGAAAAAGTCTTTTTATTGTAGAAACTTCCCAGAGTCTTTCAATATTTACAAAAATTATGTTGCCAATGGCAATACCTTAGTTATTTGAATCACCAGTAGAACACACTATAAAAACATGCATTGTCACATCTGTACCCTGTCACATCCAGGATAACGATAATATTGAGATATATAACTATTTAGCCCTTATTTTAAAACATCAGGTAACAAGCATCAATCAATTTCTATCAAATGTTTCAACTTGGGTATTACAGCATAAGCAGAAATATACTGTTACCAATATCCCAGCCAATTTCTTTTCCTAATGAAACAATAAAACTGAGAATATAGAGACCATTTAGTAAAGCTGATATATATATATATGTTTGCATATGTGTGTGTGTGTATATATACATATAAATGTAATTAATACAGTAGATGAGGTCAAAGAAGCAAGTGATACACAACTTTTAATTTGGATGGGATGTCCTTGAAGATTCCTGTATTAGTCCTTTCTCACATTCCTATATGAAAATACCTGAGACTGAGTAATTTATTAAAGAAAGAGGTTTAATTGACTCACAGTTCCCTATGACTGGGGAGGCCTCAGGAAACTTACAATCGTAGTGGAAGATGAAAGGGAGGCAGGCACTTTCTTCACAAAATGGCAGGAAAAAGAAGGATGGAAGGAGGAACTTGCCGAACAGTTGTAAAACCATTAGATCTCGAGAGAACTCACTCACTGTCATGAGAACAGCTTGGGAGAAACCACCTCCATGATTCAATTACCTCCACCTGGTCTCTCCCTTGACATGTGGGGATTATGGGGTTTACAATTCACCATGAGATTTTGAGTGGGGACACAGCCAAACCATATCAACTCCTAAATCTTTTTTTTTTTTTTTTTTTTTTTTTTTTGAGACGGAGTCTCGCTCTGTCGCCCAGGCTGGAGTGCAGTGGCGGGATCTCGGCTCACTGCAAGCTCCGCCTCCCGGGTTCACGCCATTATCCTGCCTCAGCCTCCCAAGTAGCTGGGACTACAGGCGCCCGCCACTACGCCCGGCTAATTTTTTTTTTTTTTTTGTATTTTTAGTAGAGACGGGGTTTCACCGTTTTAGCCGGGATGGTCTCGATCTCCTGACCTCGTGATCCGCCCGCCTCGGCCTCCCAAAGTGCTGGGATTACAGGCGTGAGCCACCGCGCCCGGCCCAACTCCTAAATCTTAATACACTTTATTACTAGCTGATATGATTTGGATCTGTGTCCCTTACCAAATCTCATGCCGAATTGTAATCCCCAGTGTTGGAGGTGGGGTCTTGTGGGAGGTGACTGGATCATGGGGGCAGATTTCCCCCTTTGATGCTGTATCATGATAGCATCCTCATGAGATATGGTTGGTGAAAGTGTGTGGCACCTTTTCTCTTCCTCTCAGTCCTGCTTCTGCCTTGCAAGATTCGTGCTTCCACTTTGCCTTCTGCCATGAGTAAAATCTCCCTTTAGCCTCCCCAGAAGCAGATGCTGCTATGCTTCCTGTTCAGCCTGCAGAACTGCGAGCCAATTAAACTTCTTTGCTTTATAAATTACCCCATCTCAAGTGTTTCTTTATAGCAGCAGTGTGAGAACAAGCTAATACACTAGCCTTCTTGAATACATCTTAGCAAGCTCTCGAGCAGCGTAACCACATAGATTAGAGAAGGCCAAAACTGACAGATTCCCATCTTGACCAAAGTTTAATCATTCTTCTCCAGTCCCTCTTCTCAGGCCCAGTTTAACAAAGACGCCTGCTAAGCCAGTTCACTGAGAATCACTTCGCCCTTGATATCTTATCACTTTGGCATGCCTTTAGCAATAATGCAGTTTAGCAAGAACCCCGCTCCCCGCCACCCCACCCCCCGCCACCCTTAATATCTAATTAGTTTCTATCCACTGACTCACTCCCTCAGCTCTTTGCTTATAAATTTCCAGCTCCATGCTGGGAGAAATTTTAGTTCAATCTCTCTCTACTATAGCTATATTATTCCCCCATTGCTATAGTCCTGAATAGTCTTCCTTGCTATTTTTAACAAGCATCCAGTGTACACGTTTCCTTTTGACAAAAGATAGTGTCCATATGTAGAGGGAAGAGGAAAGCTAACAAAATATAAAGTCATCCAAACCACACACACCTTGGACAAGCTTATCATGTGTGGGAATAAAATGCTGGAGGTGGGTTTGGCTTCCCCCCCAAAAAAAGTGTGTAGTTTGAAATTTCATATCAAGAACAGTTAAATTCCCAGATTCTTTATCATTACTGAATACCTTAGTAATTATTCTTCATTTAACACAACAGGAAATAGGAGATTTATTTTCTGGAGAGACTTGTCCAATTAAAGTGGGGATATGGTTGCTCCGTTGAGCAGAAATTTGGCTTATATAGACCCAAAGCTCAGAAAAAGAGTTATAGATCTAAAATGACAATCATTGAGACAATAAAGTTCATGGAAACCACGATGGGAAGCATCTACGTGGAAATAAAAAGTTGGATTTTCAGTAGAGAAATTGGTAACAATGTAAATTTCCTCTTAATGTCAGGTGAGAACTAATTCTGAAGTCAGAGGAGGAAAGTAGCCTACAACAAAGAGTAAGATCATCTTGACAGGATCAGGGAGAAAGATAATAGTTGCAAATGGAGACAGGTATATTGATTTAGTGCCAGGTAGTTGAAAGACTATGAGTGTAAAGACTTATATTTTCTCTGTGTTGCAGTAGCAAAGTCATCTGCAGAGAGAGAGAAGTGAGAAGGGAGAAGAGAGTGTCAGAAATTAGAGGATTGTAGAGATTGAAAAAGTTATGTCAGGCACAATTGAAAACCCGGTTTCCAATGGTGATCATCGTCTTAAAATATTATCAGTTTGTTTTCTTGCATGGCATTCTTCAGCAGCAGTCATGGACTGAGAAATATGCAGAAATCAGATAGTTGAGTTCATCTAGAGAAGAGGTTGCAATGTGCTTCTAAAAAGGACAAAACCAAAAGCAACCGAGGGAGAGAGAGAGAGAGAGAGAAAGAGAGAGAGAAAAATGAAGATGTGAAAGGGGATAGGTCAAAACTCAGTAATTTTTTTTAAGCAAAGGGCCAGATAGTAAATATTTTTATTTTGTGAGCCATATTGTCTCTGTAGGAAGTACTCAGTTCTCCCATGTTCTGCAAAAGCAACCATGGACAATAAGAAAATGTGGCTGCGTTCCAATAAGAATTTATTTAAAAAATAGGTGATGGATTGTATTTAGCCCAAGGGAAGCAGTATGTCAATTCTGGTTTTATGTTACTGGCAATTACATTTTAAAATATTCAGTAATTGAATCTACAATATCGATTCCCAACTATTGCTGCATATTAGTATCATAATAGAATGCCAGGTCCCAGAGACACTGGGTCAGCCAATCTCAATTGGGGCCAAGGCACTCATATGTATCTTTGGAACCTCCTCAGGCAATTCTAACATAAAGCCAGTGTTGAGAAGAGCCATTGTTAGTTTGCTTGTGGGAGTAACTGACCGCAGGAGGATCATAATGCTATAGGCAAAGGCTGAGGCACCAGTGGATTGAAAGTCTTAGTGAGGCAGGAGAACAGCTGCAGTGGGAATTGTTGCCACACTGAACAGACAGGAGATTGATCAAAGAGTGGTGTGCTTATTTAGTCATTTAAGAGGAATATCATGTTTTGTCATTATACATTTCGTGGGTTTGGTAAGCAGCCTCTAAAATTGCTCCATGTCACTTGTACCCCTGGTAGAGGTAACTCCTTGAGGAATCTTCTACTCTGTTGTCCTAGTTGAATTTATCTCACTTCACTATCAAATAGACTGTGGCAGAAGTGATGGATATCACTTCCAACATTAGATTGCACAAAGACTGTGGCTTCTGTCTTGGGAATCCTCTCTCTCTCTTTCATTGTAAGGGAAGCTGACTTCTATGTTGGGCGCTGCCTATTAAGAAGTCCACATAGCACGGAGCCAGTGTCACCAGTCACAGCCAGCAAGGAAGGACCTGGGGACTGCCCCCAGCCACATGATTAATCTTAGAAGTGAATCTTCCCTAAGTAAGGCTTTTAAATGATGGCAGCCTTATGAGAGTCCTTGAGCTAGAGGGCCTTACTAATTCTGATATAGTTCTTGACCCAGAGAAGTTGGCATAATGAATGTTTGTTGTTTTAATCCACTAAGTTTTGGAGGTAATATGTTAAGCATCAACAGATAACTAATAAAAGGAGTGATTCTGAGCAAGAAAGGCTTAAGTGGAGGGAAGCTAAGGTCGAATAGTTTATGAATATCATCCTGTAAGAATACAGGGCTTGGAGCTTTGAAGGTGGGAGCAGAAAAAAATTTATGTAAGCTTGTCATTAACAATATGACTAAAAAAGTTCATTATACTGAAGGATAAATGCTTACATGTGCCTCAGAGAATAGATGTTTTTATTCCCGGGAAGAAAGATAAACTTTTTCAAAAAACATAAAGATTAAGTAGGATGCAGTTTCCAGCTTTGGATTCTGACATTCAGGACATGGGGAGGGTGATGAGCTTCTCCTGGAGGACTGAATTTAGGACACAATCAAGTTCATGATGGAAGCCCTTATGAGGTAGAGAGGGAGTGCATCTCAGCTCTTTCGATTAATTAAATGATTGCTTGAATTGGAGAAGGTGTGGGTATTTTGTGTTGTTTGGGTGAGTACATTGGAATGGTTTTCTAGCATTCCTTTGAGATTTTCCACAGTATAAGTTAAGGTAAAAGAACATTTTTACTTGTTTCAGAAAGCATACTGAGGAAGCTTTAATGTTACTATTAAGTAGGTAGGGAAATGACCAATATTATAAACGCAGATTTCCAGCCTCTCCTTTTAATGCTTTCAGAATGATTCCACAAGAACCTTGAAAATGTTGAGTATTTATATTTATTTTATGCCCTTTTATTGTGATTTTTTTAATAAATAACTTTTTTTGGTAAATACTGGAAGTTAATATTCTATAGTTTAGAAAAGCAATTTTGAACACTCAACTAGTGAGCCCATATAAAACTACATAACAGCACAGAATATAGTAAAATAATAATATAATGAACTGGGAGACAAACTAGGCACTGTGTGCCAAGTTTTTCAAGGAAGATACAATTTCAATACCAATGAAATAAACTCCCACAAATTGATTTTTCTTTGTGTGCACTCATCAGTGTAAATACAATTAAGTAATAAAGCCTGTACTTGTTCAGGAAAGATGTTTTCTATTCATAGTCTGATATCTGGGTGCTTTGGTTTCTGATAATTTGTTATGTAAAAACCCTGCAAATTAAAAAAAAAAAAAATCAGCAGCTCCAAGTTCATGGGCCCTTATCACAGAGGATTTAAAACCTGTGCATTTTCTTTAAACTGAGAATATTATTACATTTTTTAATCCAGTGATGAGACCATAATAGTTTTCTGAAATAATTCAGAATAATTATATACCTAAAAGTTAATTTGCATGTGCTGTAATTTAAATAAAAGGACAGTTAATTTTTGCATTACAAAACATGAAAAATAAAATCAAACGTTGCATCTTTACTTTTATTACATAAATTCCTTTACATTGTAGTGCCCCCTAGCACCACGCAAGTTTATAAACTGCTTTCAATATTAATTATGTTATTATAATAATAACTAATTTAAGAATGTATTATTAAAGTCAGTAATTTAATAATAATAATTTCAACAATATATGTGTCACAAAAATACCTGAAATTACAATTAGTATGTCCGGTTTACTGATGGGAATACTGTGGCTCAAAAACATCATCTCAGGCAGGGTGTGGTGGCTAACTCATGTAATCCCAGCACTTTGGGGGTCCAAAGCAGGTGGATCGCCTGAGATCAGGAGTTTGAGACCAGCCTGGCCAACATGGTGAAACCTCATCTCTACTAAAGTACAAAACCGGTCCGGCATGGTGGTGCACACCTGTAATCCCAGCTACTCGGGGGGCTGAGGCAGGAGAATCACTTGAACCCATGAGGAGGAGGTTGCAGTGAGCCAAGATCACACCACTGCCCTCTAGTCTGGGTGACAGAGCGAGAGTCCTTCTCAAAAAAAAAAAAAAAAATCATCTCACCCAAATCATGTAGCTACAAAGTTATGGTTTAGAATAATTCAACTATTTTACTGAAATCAAAACTTTTACTATTAACCAATCAGTTACACTCAGCTTTGTGTAACTGAATACCAAATAACATCATGTTCCAGTAATTTTCATTTGAGTGAGAAGGGAGCACACTGGTACCCTGGACACACCCAGATACACTAAATCAGAACCTCTAAAACTTGGTGACTGTAAAAATAATTTTATTCTGAGTCTGAAACATATGCTCCGTGTTTCTTAGCAAGTTTCTGCAGCACAGGAGTCAGGTGAGGGAAGGTAGCGCCCCACTCCTGGTTATGGAAGGCAGAGGGTGAGTTCTGCTGCACATATGAAGCTATGGAGAGAGCAAGACTGCATAGGAGCAGGGTACAGTCTCTGGATATAGAAGACAGATAAACCTGGGTTATAGTTGACCCAGTGGAAAATTATAGGCCAAGAATAAGTTTCCAGATACCTTAATAGAACTGGGCATTTGATAAATTTTGAAAGTTCTCTGATAACTCGTATGTGCAGTGTAGGCTAAGAACTCACGGAAACAATATAGACATTTTTTGCCTCTCAGGGATATGCAGACACCCCAGTTCAGATATGATGTCTTCATGATCATCAGAAATCCAGATGGCTATTATCTTGTTGCTTTGCACCTCCAAGTACTGCTGCTTGTCATGTTGCCCCATGGCTGCCCCAGATCTAGCCATCAGAGCTGCCTTTCCAAGAAGGAAGAAAGCACAGAGATAGGACATGCCCCCGGCATGTAAGTCAGCTTCTCAGAAGTTACACGCGTTACTTCCCCTTACACAACATAGGTCAGAAATTGGTCACATGTGTCATGCCCTATGTTAAGAAAAGATTGGGAATATAGCATTTATTCCTGGTGATCATGTGTCCGGCTAAGCATTAGAGGACATTTTTACTGATGGCGAAAGGGTCAATGGAGATTGCAGTGAACCAGCCATCTCTGTCCAATAGGCACTTTATTTGGTGACGATAATTACAGGAAAGGTAGCACTAGACAGTTTTAATTCATTGAAGTTATTTTGGGTTTTTCTTGTTAATTTGTTTGTTTGCTTATTTGTTTTATCCTTCAGAGAAATGCTAGAAATTTAGTAATTAAATTAAATATTTCATTGAACACAAAAGCATAACATTATGGAAAAGAGTAACTGTTGTTTGGTTTTATTTATATATGTTAGTGTTTATACTGACTAATCTCACCAATGGAGACAGACAATTTCTAAGATTTATTATAGGCATTGTGTTTGGATCTTTCTTTCAGAAAAGTAAAAATCAGCTTAACCCAAAAATTATTTTAATAATAATTGGCATATCCAGCTTCATCCATGTCCCTACAGCGGACATGAACTCATACATTTTTATGTCTGCATAGTATTCCCATGGTGTATATGTGCCACATTTTCTTAATCCAGTCTATCATGGATGGACATTTGGGTTGGTTCCAAGTCTTTGCTATTGTGAATAGTGCCGCAATAAACATATGTGTGCATGTGTCTTTATAGCAGCATGATTTATAATCCTTTGGGTATATATCCAGTAATGGGATGGCTGGGTCAAATGGTATTTCCAGTTCTAGAAGCTGGAAACCATCATTCTGAGCAAACTATCGCAAGGACAGAAAACCAAACACCGCATATCCTCACTCATAGGTGCAAATTGAACAATGAGAACACCTGGACACAGGGTGGGGAACACGACACACCAGAGCCTGTCGTGGGGTGGGAGGAGGGGGCAGGGATAGCATTAGGAGATGTGCCTAATGTAAATGACGAGTTAATGGCTGCAGCACACCAACATGGCACATGTATACATATGTAACAAACCTGCACATTGTGCACATGTACCCTAGAACTTAAAGTATAATAAAAATAAATAATAATTGGCATATCCAGAACCCTTTGCTGTCTTCTGCTACATTTGCACAAATTCACAGCTATTTGAATACCAGTCATTGTCAATCCTGGTCCTCTTTGAAAATACTGTTCCTTAGTTTTGCTCTCTGCCTAATTTACTTGGATTGAGGGGAAACCCAGGAATCAGTTGATTTGAGTACGTAGCCAATGTTGTAAAGAACTAATTGCTTTAACTTCTAATAGAAAAATATCACTATTTTTTTTAAAAAGTTACATAATTCATGTGTAGGAACATAATCCTTTTAGCCTAGAAGTAAAAAATGATATAGTCTTGCCCTATAGCACTGATCATGGCCATATATAATTTATAATAACCAAAATAATGACAATATTTTGGTACAGCATGCTCTATTAATTTGAATGCTCACGAGTTAACACATAATTCAATGTGATATGTATTAGGTTATAGAAAACCATGAGGTAAAAATCATAGGCTGCATTGAACTTTCTACTTCCCCAACTTTGCCTCATTATAGGGAGGGATGCAGCCCTAGAGTTCAAGAATTCCATAAAGACCAACCTGAAATTCTGGTGCCTGGCATCTTGTCACACCTTCTTCCAATACACAAACATCAAGGAGTGTAGAAGTTGAACATGGTCTGTTGTCACTGCCTCAAAGAATCCACTTCTAGCTTGTTCACACTAGGGTGTGAACATTTAAAGAGGGTAGGGAAGAACCACCTGGGTGGATTTTCACTGGGGATCTTATAATAAACTCTCAAAATCCCAGATTGAGACAAGGGAAGGGATGCTCAGTCGTATGTAATTAGGAAAAAGAGAGGGATTTTGAACCCACCCCTGCATCATCTAAGTCAAATAGAGCCAGTGTAACTGTTGGGACCGTTGCAGGTAGGGTGTGCTAGGTACCAAGCCGCAGTTAGGTAACCAATGACTTTTACAAGCTTATTTTCATCTCAGTACACCACATGCTTCATGTGCCACGTGCATGTATGTAAGTTACACATCTAAGATTATATTATTGGGTTACACTACCATGAATTATCTAAGGAAAACAGAATGATCATCATTGTGTGTGCAAAGACGACTTCTGAAATTAATACCAACAAGAGATTTCTTCTTTGCATATTTTCAAGCAGAAAGTGGACTAAATTATATCATTGGAGCATGACGTCTCAAAAAATATTTATTGCCAAATAATTCTTTACTGCTAAAAATTATTTATTGCATGAAATAGAAAAGATCTGAGACTGAAACTTCCATTTAAAAACATGATTTAAAAAAATAGAGTAATTACATAACAATTATGAAACTCAGATGCCAGAGTCAGAAATCAAGAAATTAACTATGTCAAGCAATTACAATATGATTACAAAGGCCCTTATATATTCATACAAGCTTTTTGCATTTTTTGAGCTAATTTTATGAAAAACATCAAAAGCCAGAAAACTAATGCTTAATGTATATTTTAAGGCCAAGAACAATATAGAAAAATTAATTTTCTCCTTAAAGTTTTTTAAGATATTTAAAGTAAACATTTTAAAAATTATTTAATCTGTGACCCAATTTGAATCACTTTGCTCTTCAGATTCCGATGTCTCCACAAAAATTCCGATGTCTCCTTGAAATTAGCTGATACATTATAAGAAATGAATGACTGTCCTGTCCTATTTGGGATACACATAAAAGTTACCCCAAAGGTTTAATTAGATAGTGAAGTACAAAAATACAGATTTGTAAAATATTACATATATAAACAATATAAATCTCTATTTTGACAAGTGACTTGATAAACTAGGTTAAATAATTGTTAATAGAGTTGAGTAAAGGCAGTGATGTTGGTAAACTAGTGATCCAAATGAAAAGAAAGTCGGCTGGGCACGGTGGCTCACGCCTGTAATCCCAGCACTTTGGGAGGCCAAGGCGGGTGGATCACAAGGTCAGGAGTTCGAGACCAGCCCGGCCAATATTGTGAAACCCCGTCTCTAATAAAAAATACACAAATTAGCCCAGCGTGGTGGCATGGTGCCTGTAGTCACAGCTACTCAGGAGGCTGAGGCAGGAGAATCGCTTGAACCAGGGAGGTGGAGGTTGCAGCGAGCTGAGACCACACCACTGCACTCCAGACTGGGCAACAGAGTGAGACGCCATCTCAAAAAAAAAAAAAAAAAAAAAAAACCAGAAAAAAAGAAAGTCTTGATACATGGTGTATGCTGCATGTATGTAAGTTACACTTCAAAGAGTAAGTCCTCCCACCATAGCTGTTTTCAAGTTATTACCATTTCAAGATACTAACTCCTGTGAATAGGAGGGTGAAGTCTTTAAATTACAGGAAATTTCAATAAAAGCCTGAGGCAAAGATATTTCAAGGGTTTTGGTTAAACAAAAGACACATTGGCTGGCATGAACAAGAGGAATGCACTATCGAAACCATCTTAGTCAATGACAGGAAGACAGTGTTATGAGTCTACTGGTTACAGAAAATCTTTGTTTTAAAAACTCAGGTTTATCGAATTAAAATTTATATATGCCAAAAGTCATCTTTTTAAGTATGCAGTGTGTTGAAAACATAGATGGTTATATAACAAATACCATCCTCAAGATATAGAACAGTACCATCACCTAGAAAAATTCCCTTTTGTGCCTTTTGAATCAGTATTTCTGCTGCCCTCAGTCTTTGGAAATCGCTGTTCTTTGTCCCTATGGTTTTATATTTTCTAGAATGTCATACACAAGGGAGCAAACAGCATCCTGAATAGGCCTTTAAATCTGGCTTTTTAAATAGCATAATAAATCTGAGACACATTCATGTTGTTATGTTATCAGATTTGTTTCTTTTTCTTCCTAACGTGATATTAAATAGATACAGTATATAACTTTTTGACTATTCACCAGTTTTTGAAATTATGAATCATATGGTTAAAGTCACCAACAGATATACATATGTATATTACATATATGTATATAGTATACATATAAATCAGTGGATTCTTCAATTTTTTTATTGTCAAAATGATTTTTCCATTATAATTCCTTTGCTTCTCTGTTGAAAGTTTTAGAATGAGCTTGTTTGTTAGTTGCAAATATCCTGTTAGGAATTTTAACTGGATTGAATTTTTGTATTGAATTTTTTGATTGGTTTGAACAGAATTAATTTATTGTCAATATTGGCTACCAAGCTCTTTACTTATTTACTTCTTCTTTGATTTCTTTTACCAGTGTTTTTTTAGTTTTTGTTACCCTTTCTCCATGTTTTTTTAGATTAAGAATTTAATGTTTCTTGTGCTACTTTAAATGTAACTTTAAAAAATTCTAATTTCCAATTGTTCATTAATAGTGTTGTAAAGTAGCGGGTCCCCCACCAGGGAATTTAAGGGCATATGTTGACTGCTTGAGTCCTGAAGGCTAGATGGTGAGCAAAGTTCATGGTGCTCAGCCGAGGAGCAGATGTCCCTGAAAACCAAAACATCCGGGAGCATATCTAGGTACATACCAAGAAGAACAGTTTCATCACATGTAGTAAGCAAAGAGCCAGAAAAGTAGCTTTGGCCGGGCGCGGTGGCTCATGCCTGTAATCCCAGCACTTTGAGAGGCCAAGGCGGGCGGATCACGAGGTCAGGAAATCAAGACCATCCTGGCTAACGTGGTGAAACCCCGTCTCTACTAAAAATACAAAAGATTAGCCGGGCGTGGTGGAAGGCGCCTATAGTCCCAGCTACTCGGGAGGCTGAGGCAGGAGAATGGCGTGAACCTGGGAGGCGGAGCTTGCAGTGAGCCGAGATCCCGCCACTGCACTGCAGCCTGGGCGACAGAGCGAGACTCCGTCAAAGAAAAGAAAAGAAAAGAAGAAAAGAAAAAAAAGAAAAGAAAAGAAAAGTAAAGAAAAGAAAAGAAAAGAAAAGAAAAGAAAAGAAAAGTAGCTTAAAAGCAGCTTAGAGGAAGATGGTGGGCAGCAGGCGGATCTCTGGAGTTTTATCCCGCTGCCCTTTACGTAAGTCCTAATAAACTCGTCTTCTCATGAAGCTGGACTTGTCTGAGTCCTTCTTTGTTATTTCAGCACTATCTCTTTGGCAGAGGGATGTTCTTCTACACAGGTCTGGGTTTTTCCTGCAACAATTATATATAAAAAATAATTCTGTATATTAGCATTATAGTGTTATAGTGCATAGTGTGAAATTACAAAACTCACAATTTATTTCTAGTAGCTTCACTTTTAATAATTTTAATTATTTTGTACTCACAATTTATTTCTAGCAGCTTCACTGCTAATAATTTTAATTATTTTGTACATAATGGAATACTGTGCATAGACCATCCACGAAACAAATAGAGTTTTATTTCTTCGTATCCAATTTGTATGCCTTTTGTTTATTTTTCTTACTTTAGTACACTGGTTAAAATTTCCAGTATACAGTTAAATAGTTCTTGAGGACAGGTTTCCTGTACTTCTTTTCTTCGTGCCTGTGTATAACGTATATTTAACTATATAATACATACAACACAACTATGTTTGTCTTCATATAATTTTTTACCTTTTTTTTAGTTTGTTTACGTAGCCCCTATATCTCTAGAAATGTTTCTTGGATTTACGATTTGATTGCCTTCACTTCTTTTGGAAAATTCTCATTCATTTTGTTTTTAAGTATTTATCATCCTTGTTCTCTTTCATGAATCCGTTCAAGTTAGGCATCCAGAGCTGTCCTTCAGCTCTTGGATGCCATGTTCTGCTATTTATCACTCTTCTTGTTTCTTACTTGTATTTGTTATTCAATTTCTATGTTTTTTATCTTCAACTTTACTGTTCCATTCTTTATTCATATCAAGTCTTCTGATGAATTACTTCATTGGTGTTTGCATTTTGAGGTAGATACAACAGTATATCTATTGAGACATTAATTAGTGCAATTAAACCGAAGTTTAACACATTTTAAGTAAAAATTTATCCCACTATCGCGTAAAACTTGTGAAAGTTAAAGTCATCAGCACTTAATATTGTCTGTCATGCGAGGCAATCGGCACTCAAGTGGCAAATGCACTCATTTAACTCTAAATTGGTACTTTAGTTAATCTCTCATATTGATTTTTTTAACCCTTAAACACTGGCAAAGAGAAGCATACACCTAAAGAGAGATTTTTTACATTATTGTTTATTTAGTTAGTTTTTAGAAACAAGGTCTCCTCTCTCTCTCAGGCTGGAGGGCTGTGGTGCAATCACAGCTCACTGCAGCCTCAAAATCCTGGGCCCAAGCATACCTCCCACCTCAGCCTCCCAAGTAGCTGGGATTACAAGTGCCTGCCTCAGTACCCGGCTACTTTTAAAACATTTTTTGATACACATAGAGTCTCAGTTTGCTGCTCAGGCTGGTCTCAAACTATTGGTCTCCAGCAATCCTCTTGCCTCAAGCTTCTAAAGTGCTGGGATTACAGGTTAACCAGGACACCTGGCCTAGAGGTTATTTTTTGTTGTTTTAATTTCTTTATTTAATAGTCTGTGTGTTTAAATTTTGTTGACAATAATCTTAACAGCAACAATAGTATCTACTTGAAAGGTATGCATTCTATATATAATTCCTTAGATATAAATTTAAGTATAAATATTTGAAAACTCTTTAATTTTTTAATATTGTGTCCCATTTCTTAAAAAAGAGAGAAGCTATATTAACTTTTGAATTCAGTACACAGTTAACAGTTCTTTCATTTAATATGTGATAATATAAATTTAACAGTGAAACTTTCAAATACTCATATTAACTTACCCTGATAGATTTTATAGCTTTAATATAAAACTTCTCATAAATGTAAAATTTGACAAAGCACAATATTCTCCAGGAAGTTAGAAAAGTAATATAATTTTCTGTCTCTCAGAATGTGTTTTCTAACCTCTAAATATAAATTGATGGACTAATCTTTTAAAATTCAGAATCAAATATAATTGCTTTGGTTTGATCATTGAGAATTCTTTTTCCATTCCATCATTTTATAGTTTTTGCCTAAATAAAATACTTAAGGAAGTTATTGTTATGTTGTATTTGAAAGATGCCTGATGGAGAAACATTCATAGTTCTTTTCTATCCTCATGAAAGGTTATATGAAAACATATATATATGTATATATATAAACATGTGGATAAAGTACAGAAAATCCTATCATTGCCTCTGACTCAAATGGTAATCTTTAATATAAAGATTTGAAACTTTCATGGAACAGTATATCAGAACTTTATTTCCAATTTGTTTATGTATACTTAACGTATATCCTAAGTATCAAGAAATCACATTCAATTAACATATACATTATAAAACAATTCCTATATGATAATTCTAATAAGTAAACATGATTTTAGTGGTAGTAATTATTCAATCAAATATTCATATTTTAAAGATTAAATCTTCATATTTTAAAGCACATTACATCAGTTTACAATTCGATATTGACTACTGGATAGAATTTATCAATGAAATTTTGAATATGGCATGGTTAATGCAGATCATGTGAATTAAATTGCAAGGCAGAGAGCTTTTAAATTAAAAAAATAAGCTGGTTTATAAATCCAGTGCTAGACAGTTAATAAAAGCAATACATATAAATCTCCCAGACACCTCCCAATCTTGGTATTTTGAAATATTTTCCTCTTTTTAATATTATTTAAATAAAAAAATTATCTGCCTTTAAGCAACAAAACATGAACTCTTGGTAGAAAATTCACTAATTGACATAGGTATCTAGACTTATAAACCTGTAAAAAATGTGAAATAGAAGGCATAAAGTATTTGAGTCAATAAATTACTAACTAAATCTTTTTTTTTTTTTTTTTTTTTTTTTGGGACGGAGTCTCGCTCTGTCGCCCAGGCTGGACTGCAGTGGCGGGATCTCGGCTCACTGCAAGCTCCGCCTCCCGGGTTCACGCCGTTCTCCTGCCTCAGCCTCCCAAGTAGCTGGGACTACAGGCGCCCGCCACTACGCCCGGCTAATTTTTTGTATTTTTAGTAGAGACGGGGTTTCACTGTTTTAGCCGGGATGGTCTCGATCTCCTGACCTCGTGATCCGCCCGCCTCGGCCTCCCAAAGTGCTGGGATTACAGGCGTGAGCCACCGCGCCCGGCCTTAACTAAATCTTTTGATTAAATCAGCTTTATAAAAAAAGTAAACGTAAACACATAAGTCTTTGTATAAGCACCCCTACATTTTTAAAAGTATATTTGCCTTTTCATAAACTCAGTTGAGTAGTGGTAACATTCATCATCACAACTTTTTAGAGGCAATGAAATTGATGTCATTTGAGGTCTTCATCTCATATTTATCTTTTATTTTCTTATTTTGTCATGTTTAGCAAAGGATAGTAAAAGTAGAGGATCATTCAACCCAGAAATACAGGGAAACTGATCCTTGTAAATAGCACCCTTTATAGACTCATGGATATTTTAAGAGCAAGATGTGCTAGAAAGGAAAATAAGGCAATCTCTTAATGCTGTGCCTTTTCTTCCATTACATTTTTAGATTATATATTATCCCTTGTTTATTTCTGTAGCTGGGGAAAATATTTTTATTGAAATAGATTGTTTTTTGAAGTTTGCTATATTAGGTAAAAATAAATACCAAACTTCTCTGTCTTCAGTTTAATAGAAAAAAAAAATCCCTTGTTACTCTGTTTCTGCCTTACTGTTAGTAGAAAGATTTATGATTAAGTAATTTTAGTAGGACAACATTAAGAACAAAAACATGAACCAAAATACTTTTTAAAATAAATATACACATTTTTACTATATATAGACACATATATAAAAGTATATATACATATATGTATATATGTGACTTCAATAACAGGAAAATAGATTTTCCAGATTAACAATCTAAACATCTCATCCATAACAAAAGGTTAGGCTCTATACCAATGCTTGAATGAAAACTGTAATATCATCCATTTAAAAAAATGCCAACACATGCATAATTTTAGGCTGTAAAAATGAAAATATTTCAGAATTGATTAACAAATGGTGGAAGTTAAAGTTGTCTCTTCCCGACCTGCACTTTGTTTTCTGTCTCTTGCCTTTTCTCACATTTTATTTTTCCTTCCTATCTCAACAATATACCCCACCTGCAGTGTGCCCAATGTGGACACATACCTGCTTTTTTCAGGCACTGTTTTGGACAACATTTCCCTACTGAGCATTAAATCACTTTTTCTTAAATACGTACTAAAGATTTCCATGGCTGAAAAGCTAGTTCCACATACATTAATAATCCTTGAAGAATTAAATCAGATACAACCTCTACATCAGCACAATATTTCAAGGTGGTAAGGGAGTGCTACTGCTGGGTTCGTCTTCACTTAATAACTTTATTAATGATGTGGATGAGTGAACAAATATGAAAAGAAAATTTATAGGTATTACATACGTAGATTCTGCAGAAACAAATAGGCTGGAAGGTAATGACTGTAGAATGACCTAGAGAGGTTAAAAAAAGAAAATAGTAGTCCAATATTATTCCACTTTTAAGTAAATGAGACCATTAAGCTCTTTAAAATAACCAGTAAATAAAAACTCAAAGCAATGATAGCTACATCAAAAAGTGAGGGAAGAGGGGAAATTATATGTTGCAATGTTACAGAGTACATTAAAGCATTCAGTATATTTCCTGAAAATTTCATAAGCACAGTTCTTAATGTTTATTCATAAATAAACAAAACCACACCAAAAGCCATAGTTCATTTGTTTCTAACTAAGAGTACAAATTATTTATGCGGAAAAGTACATATAAGCTCACATAAATAACACGAATAATGTTTTCATTGTGAAGATATTCATAACGTTCAAATGACAAGGTCTTAGGAACTCTGCACCTTCATTAATTTTAATCAATATTTAACAATCAAGATTGTTTTCAATAAATCATGATCTAATAATGAAAGGGGGAAACTATTTGTTTTAACTTTCATTTCAGTTTTACCCTTTACTCACAAGTTGAAATTCATTCTCACTCTTTGCAAACTATTTTGAAACACTTCCAGGTAAAATTCATATAAATATTTTATTTTTCCTAATTTTTGGAAAAATTTTAGACTATTACAATCTGAGTTAATAGCCTAGTTCCTTTGTTGATCCAGTGTAAATAAATATTTCTCTTTTCTTGCTGTATTAAAAAACCCACAGTCTCTATAGCCAAGTCTATATCTATATCGATATCTATCTGTATCTGTATCTATCTATGTGTATCTCTATCGATGTATGCATACACAAATAATATCTGTGGAAGAATTTTTTTTCATGTAGTGTAATATCCACAGCTCTTCTACTTTAACCATAACTCAAGTTAATAACATTTTATTGTCTTTTGTTAGTTTTACCTGGAAAAGAAAGCACATCATATACAATATTATAAAATAGAAATAAAACTAAATATAGTGTTTTAGAAGGTAACAAAGTTTTATGTTTAAGGATATTAAATAAAATCTATTTCTTCCAGTATATTTTTTCACAATCTGTCTTAAATGGAATCTTCAGATATCTTAACAAGTTGACTACTAGATTTTGTAGTGTATTCCAATCAGATATCTATCTGAGGCCACTCTTTTTTTTAATAATCTAGGCTTCTGTAGACAATGTGGAAACATTTTTAAAATGATGACGCCCTCCTTTTCCTTCGTAGCTAAATTAGTACACAAAATTCTAAATATTTCCTTAGTTTTAATAATAATAAAGCAATATAAGATTCACCCTCTGTATTCAATTCTTTGTTACCAATTCTGCTATAATTAGAATTTTTGAAATTCTTAGTTATAACCTTTATTTTTGATAATTGCATTTAAAATGCAATGATAAAGCAAATAATTAAAATGCTAGGAATAAAATTGTCCTTTATTAGTTTATCATAAAGTTCCATAAATTTCAGCTCTCCTTGATTTCTCACTATTCTAGTTCATCAATTTTGTAATTAATCATTAAACATTATTCTTTCTCTATATTAAAAATATTAGCAATTAACAAATCCCTATTTAATATTATATTCATTGTTTTAGTTTGATGCTTTTTTTTTTTTAGTGATATGTACAGAAGACAAAAAAATGATGTGCAGCCTTTGTGTTCCATTTATTGTTGCGTAAAATAAAATTTCATCAATCTTGGATAAAAATTCTTAGGCCTATGATTATATTTGAAGGAAACACTAACTTCTGACATGATTATTTAGAACACACATTTTCTTAACTTGTCTTCCATTTTAATGGAGCTATAAATAGCTTTGGCAAATTTTTCTGCTTTGCTGTTAATTTAACTCAGTAGATTTATTGAAATTTTAAGACACCACGTTACGCAAGATTTAGGGTATGTGACTACTCTTTCCTCCTGTGTGGAGGTCGACATTGCCACAGTCTAATATCATAGTTCCCCTAAGTGGTCCCCTCCCAGAAGTGAGTTGCAAGTTCCTGCTGACTTTCAGAATTATTTCTCCATGTTTATGTCATTTTGATGCAAGAGAGGTCAATACACAGGTATGTCATCAAAATAATATTTAGACTATGTCATTCCCACAAAAAACAACTTATATGCCATGTTTTACTCACTACCAAAGTCTTGTTGAATACTACTTGTTTCATTCCTCTAGCCAGGAGACAACCTGGCAGGTATACTGCCTGAGCACCAAGAAGTTATCATATAATTTGCGTTTCACTGACCTCTCTTACCTTGTCAAATTACCCACAATAATTTTGGTAAAGTTGCATCTAACTTGGTATGGACTAAAAATACTTGCGTCGCCCCCAAAATTTGTATGTTAAAACCCTAATTCCACTGAGATGATATTTGGAAACAGGGCCTTTGGGAAATAATTAGGTCATGAGTCTCTCTCTCTCTTTCTCTCTCTCTCTCTCTCTCTCTCTGTCTGGTCTCTCTCTCTGTCTCTTTATGAGGACATGACAAGGAATGGAGGTTTTACCTGTAACCATTGACTGGCACCTTTATCTTGGACTCTCAGCCTCCAGAACTCCGAGAAGTAAATTTCTATTGTTTAAACCAGTCAGTGTATGTTGTTTTTGTTGTTGTTATAGCAGCTTGAATTAAGACACAATTTTCCTAAAACTTAAAAATGTCAGATTGGTGGATAAAATTGTATTTCATTGTGCTTTTTTCTTCAAGCCTTATACCTCTGACTCCAAACTCATAGTAACCAGTGTAAGACATGGTAGAATCTTTCCACTAGTGCTTGGGACACTATTTATAGTATCTACCCAATCTAATTTTAATGAAAAAGTTGAAGGTTGGTATAAAAAAATGTTTATCATCTAGGAGTTCCAGGCTCAATTCAACATACTTGTGATGGTCTCATGTAGTAGCAGTGACAGTCAACTACAAATGGTGCCTGAACAGGGACATTTCAGAGACTATCAGGGACATACAGAGACCTGAAAGGACCTGGAGGGACCTGAAGAGGCCTGCAGGGATAAACAGAGATAAGTGGAGGTAAGTACAGAAAAGTAAGTAGAGATAAGTAAGTAGAGAAAAGTAGAGATAGGTAGGGAAAGACGGGGACTTGCAGGAACTAACAGGTACCATAGGGACAGACAGAGACAGATAGGAATAGATAAAGACTAGCAATATAAGGTCAGTGCCCTGAAGAGGTACTGGTCTGTGTCCTAAAGAGGTACAAAAGTAGAGACTAGCAAAGACTAGGAGAGATTTGGAGGAACAGACAGGGACAGATAGGGACAGATAGGGTCCTATAGGACTAGAGCGAGGAAGGTCTGCTGGAACAGAAAAAAACTAAAACCAACTAGATGAACGAGAAAGCCCATTACAACTCTGTTGGCAGCGACATAAGGTTAGTGCTCTAAAAATGATGGATGAATTTTCAGAATTTATCTAATTTTCTCCTCCATCAAAGTTAAAAATTAGCTGTTTGATTTACTATACTCAGCTAAAATTCTCTGGCATTTTATCTTGATATTACTGACATCCTGGAAGGAGTATCTTGTTTGTTTGGCAAGTGGATTTTTTTAAAAAAATAAATTATTGCTTCATAATTTTTATTGTTTATATTTCAAGGTTATGAAAAATGCCCTTAAAAGATAAATGGTATATATATATATATATATATATATATATAAAATATATATTTTAATCTGCATGTAGTATACCTGTTGTGACAAAAATAAACGAAAGCTTAATTTCTTGCCAAGTTGTAGACTATTACAGTATATTATTTTAAGCATTATGCTATACATACTTCTTTTGAAAATTTATGGAGTACATGAGATGTTTTGATACATGCATAATAATCACATCAGGGTAAATTGAATATGCATCACTTCACACAGTTATCCTTTGTGTTACAAACAATCTGATTATACTCTTCTAGTTATTTTTAAATGTACGATTAAATTATTTTTGACTATAGTCACCCTGTTGTGCTAGCAAATGCTAGGTCTTATTCATTCTTTCTAACTATGTTTTTGTACCTATTAGTGTGCCCCGCTTTCCTCCCAAACCCTCACTACCCTTCTCAGCCTGTTAACCTTTATACTGTTTATCTCCATGAGTTCAATTGTTTTAAGCCTTAGCTCCCACAAATAAGTGAGAGCATCCGAAGTTTGTCTTTCTGCGCCTGGCTTGTTTCACTTAACATAATGACCTCCAGTTCTATCCACATTGTAGCAGATGACAGGAACTCATTGTTTTTTATGGCTGAATGGTATTCCATTTTGTATATGTACTATATTTTCTTCATTCATTCATCTCTTGATGGATACTTAGGTTGATTCCAAATTTTGGCTATTGTGAGTAGTGCTGAAATAAACATGGAGTGCAGATATCTCTCTGATATACTATGTCCTTTCTTTTGGTTATACACCCAGGAGTGGGATTGCTGGATCATATGATAGCTCAATTTTTGCTTTTTGAGAAACCTCCAGACTGTTCTCCTTAAGGGTCATACTAATGTACATTCCCACTGACAGTGTGCAAGGGTTCCTTTTTCTGTATATCCTCGCCAACTTTTGTTATTGCCTGAATTTGGGATAAAAGCCATTTTAACTGGGGCCTCTTAACTTTTTCCCCACACATTTCTTAATTCCTTGATGAAAAATGCTAAAAGATAAGTCACTTTCATACTTCCTAGATACAGTTATTCATTCACTCTTTTATTTTTTTAAGTTTCTTATTTAATAGATATGTATTAAATATTTACCTTGTCTCAGCCAATGTAATGTGTGACAGGCATACAAAGATGAATATAGCAGAAAGTTTATGCCTCTTAAGAAGCATAATGAAGTCATTTAAACAAATAATAGCTACAAATTTTGATGAGCACTGTCATAGAGGTAAGAATATTATGGTGGGGTGGGATGGAAGAAATTAAAATATGTCAATCTACTTTGCGTTGTAAGGAAAATCTTGGCAAAGAAGATACATGTTATGATTTGGCTCTGTGTCCCCACCCAAATCTCAACTCGAATTGTAATCCCCATGTGTCATGGGGAGGGACCTGGTGGGAGGTGATTAGCTCAAAAGGGTGGTTTTCTATGCTGTTCTTGTGATAGTGAGGGGGTTCTCAGGAGATCTGATGGTTTTATAAGTGGCAGTTTCCCCTGCATGCTCTCTCTCTTACCTGCCACAGTGTAAGACTTGCCTTGCTTTCCCTTCACCTTCCACCATGATTATAAGTTTAATTATAAGTTCACTTATAAGTTCAGCCATGTGGAATTGTGAGTCAAGTAAGCCTCTTTTGTTTATAAATTATCCATTCTCAGGTAGTATCTTTATAGCAGTGTGAAATGGACTAATAAGATAAACTTCAATAGAATACTTAAGAAGTTGTGGTAATCAACTAGTTTATGAATGGAAAGAATCATTTTATCAAAGGAAATTAAGAGCATAACAATGTGGCATTAAAACAGATTAGGGAGTTCTGAGGGTTGTAAGGATGATGGAACAGGTACATAATAGGACAATATGGGAGAATAATTAAAGAAGTCCTGAGGGTAGGTCACTGAGGCCTTATATGTTATAAAAGGGGGATTTTACTCTAGGAATTGGGAAAGTGTTTGAAGAAAGAGAATAGTGTGATTATATTTGCTTTTTAGTTTGAAAAGAAGTAGCCTGGAAATGAATGAGATTACAGCCAGAGAAGAGAAAGAATATATTTTGATGAAAGAATATATTTGGGTACTGATACAATAGTCCGGGTTAAAGATGATTTGGACCCTGGCACATGGAGGATGCTGTGGGGTCATAAAGGAAGAAATGGTAATAAAAATAACTAAAGTTTTATTGGATGAAGTTTTCAAGCCAACAAAGCATAAAACACAGACACAAAAACGACGTCTAAAATGATTTCTTAGTTTCTTAGTCATGTATTAGGTGTCAACCAAGACAGGGAATACAGACAGAGCAGTAAAGAGTTCAGCCCCAGACTCAATCCTATATGTGATTTTTGGGCCCATCCATAAACAATGACAAAGACTTGACCAAGTGGGTCCCACAGGGAGAGCTGCCCTCCCCACACTAGTGCATAGTCCTCTAATGGCAGTTTCAGTAAGGGCTGCAGGGCCATGCTCACACACAGATCAGCATCACTTGACTGGTGCCTCCCCTGGAGGCCTCTCCACTGTGGGACCTTGGCAGACCTTCCCCAGGCATGTTTGCCCAAGACCTCCTTTTCATGGGGAGAGGAGGAGGAGTCTTGAAGACAATTGTCTTCCTTCTGATTCAATACTCAGTGCTTTTCCGCTCCCAGCCTTTTCCTGACCTTCCATAAAACTGCAGGAGCCTGTTGTTCAGGGTTCCTTTGATAGTGAGACAACTCCACATCTGTGCTGACCCATGTGATCCTTGATAGAGCTGTTTCATGAAGGAAAAAAAGGATGGGGACTGGACCGTCAGGGCTTTTTCCAGTTTAACCTCAAAGGTTTGTTAATGTCCTTTTGTCTTGATGTCTTAATTGCCTACTCCAACACCTGGCTCTCTCTCCAGAGTAGTTAAGCTCCTGATGGCTGGGGATAAATTTAATGACTACTGTTTTGTATAAGTTGAGGTTAATCTAATTAATTTACCTAGAGGGAAAATTCTGACCTCTATCTCTGAGACCTCATCTAAAACACAGAGGTCATGAAGATAAATCTGGCTTCTGCCTTCAAGGAGCTTACAGTCTGGTGAAGATGATAGCTGGATAGCTAGACATAACAATAAAACCACAGCTGTTCCCTTGTGATAATTTCTGTTATGAGTTATGTACATTGGAATATGAAAAATATATAAATGGTACATAACCAATTCTAGGAGGTCAGGGCAAGCTTCCTGGGAGAAATGCTGTCTATAGGTAGACACAGAGAGACAAGAATCAAAGCCTCTTCTGAAGAAGGGTTAAATAAATCTCAGGCAGATAGGCTATGCATGACCTGCTTCTTTTATCTGTCATTTTTGTTGTTCAGTTACTTGCTAAATTTTAAGAATTTTATATATATACATTATATTTATAATATATATATAATATACATGTATATATATATATATCTTCTACATATCAGTGCTCTGTCAATTCAGCCTAATTCTGGCAAAAGCATTAAGGACTTCAATATTTACCAGGTTTGAAAGGGGAGCAGTCCTTTGAATTAGAATTATTTGAAAAATGTAGGGCTATTTTGAAACAACTACCCAATTGAAAATGCATGGACACTATAACTATTATACTTGCAGATGCATACAAAAATACTTTTATTGTCACATGGGCACAAAGATGTATATTGAAAGCTGTTCACTGAAACAGTATTTATAATAATGAAACCTGGAAGCAACATATCTCTTAATGGGGATATAGACAAGTAAAGTACAACATATACATGTTATAGAAAAAAATGCAGCCTTCTCAAAAATGGGTAAGCTGTATAGATATAGAAAAGAAAAAAGCATTGTATAAATAATATGTACACTTTAATAAAAGTTGTACTAAATTTTAAATGTAATATAAATATCATACCTTCTATATATATAAAATTATCAAAAAGACTGAATTATAATACATGAAGAGTAGGAAAAAATAGTTGCACTGAGTTTTATATTTTCTGAATGTTTAAATCTTTCCACACAATATGTAATAATTATACTTTTAAAATGAAATACACTAAGCAATAATAAGGAGCTGACCACTGATGTACTCAATAAGAACAAATTTCAAAAAACAAGATGCTGAGATAAAGAAGACAGAAACAAAATAATGCACATGTATGATGTCACTTATACAAAATTTAGAAAAGATATATCCTGTACATAATGACAGAACCTCCATCAGTGGTTGCCTGTGATCAGGGATTGAGATGGTGAGGGCATGTGAGAAGTTTTCATATATGATGGAAATGTGCAGGGGATATACAATTGTCAATATGCATCAAACTGTCTAATTTAATATATGTTTTATTGTATATGATAAATTGATTTTCTAAAAATCATATACACTAACTCAAACTTCTTATAGCTGAACACATTTTATATTAGGTGTTTATCTTATATTTACAGATGATGTCTAGTAAGCCTCAGAGATGTCCAGTGGGATCTGGGATTTGAACCCATGTCTATTTCAATTTGTCCTCTCATTCCCTTTTTACACTCAGCTTTTCTTTTAACATGCCCACATTTTCCCTACGACTACAAAATGAAAATAAACAGAACCTTTATTTTTAAGCTCTTATCCTACTTTGCTTTCTGTGCAAATGTTTTAAAATAATAGTTGACATTTATTCCTTCTACTTCCATACCTCATCCATCTCTTGCATTCTAATGTCCATCGCCCGCTTACTGAAATAGAGAAAAAAGTCACGATCATCCAGCACTGCCAGTGATTCTCAACTTTTTAAGTAATTGACTTTGTGTGTTTCTTCAGAACACTTTCTCCTCTTAAGATTTCTGGTTCCCTTTTATGTCTCCCACTGCCTTTCCATCATCTTTTTGTTTGACTCTTTAAACTCCTCCCTTTTTCCTTTTTTTCCCATGGTCTCTTCAAATATATCTAAACTAATGCGTTCTGCATACTTATTTTGAGTCTTTTTGTGAGGTCTAGTCCAACTGGCAAAATATGGTATCTCAATTTCCTACCATAAACTCATCATATCTCAAATTTAAATTTCTCATCTTTCTTCATGCAAAACACCTTGAACCTCAATTTAAACTTCATCATATTCTTCAATTTCTTCTCCCTTTGTTTTATTACACAGCTTATTTTGGCAAAATCCTAGGGTATTTTAATGTGTTTTTCATGTGCATCACCTCTCCATATATTTACAATTGTTCTGGCAAAAGTTTATATTGATAATTAGTCTTAGTGATTATAATTATGCCCTACTTTTGCTTTCTGTAATTCATCCTACACACTGTTGCTAAGTAATAATACCACTAAATCACAGCTCAGAATATATATTTTATTGCCTGCTGGTTTTCTATATCTATGAGAACATTTATTTCGAATGAAACAAAAACGATTAAACACGTAAAGCTGGAGCACTGAAAAGCACCAGGCATGCTAAGGGCCAGGGATAGACAGATGAAAGAGCATGCCCGCTATCTTTCTCTTAACATTCAAAGACCCGTTAATTTCCATTTCAACATGCACTTTTTGTCAATTTTGTTTTCCACAGATCACTTTCAAGCATCCTTTGAAATAAACCCACTAAGATCATTTTTCCCAGAGCTTGCCCGTTTTGTACCTCTGCTGAGATTTTTCTCATTTCCTGGAATTATGACAATATTAAGCATAACTGTAAAAATTCTAAGTATCATTTGTATAGCGTAATAGTAGATCCAGTCCAACAGTGCCTAGAAACTTGCACACACCATTGCATTTCACCCTCGCAACAATTCCATGTGGTTGGTTCAGCTATGTCTACTTCACAGATGAAGATATGGAAACTCAGAGGTGTTACATAACTTGCTACCATCACACAAGTCACAAAATCAAGCCAGTCTGTCACCTAAGAAACCCTAACCCTTCTCACTTTAATACACTACCTTTATTATCCTACATTTAATTTATTTTTTATACAACTTTGCTCATGACAATCTTTGTTCCTTTAGTTGGAAGTTTTTATTCCTCAATTTCCCAAGGGGAAGATTTTACAGGTTAAACATTTTTGTCACTTGTCACTTAGCAACTTAACATTCTAGTCATTTATGCACAAGTTACTATCTCTACAAAACGTGAACAATTTGAAGATGAAAAATTATGTATTATATATCTTAAATCCATCCCACTGTAGTTCTTTACAGAGAGACAGTACTCAGTAAATATTTATAAGAATCATGACATGCAAATGTGCATATTCTCTCTTATTAGAATATAATTTAGAAAATGTACTTGACAAATGAAAAGTAGCATCAGATTATTCTTGTTCAAAATATTCCTCCTTGGTAAACACTAATACCTGGACTAATTTTTGAAGACTGTACTTCTCAGTGGGGGAGAAGAATTGGGAAAAATTCTTTAGTGTGAGAATATCTTAGGGGAAAAGCTATAGTTTTAAAAAATACTGCTTTGTTTTATTCCAGTTATTTCTCTTTTATCAAAATTTTAAATTTGTATTTATAGTTGATATAAAACGATATGTATCTTGAGAGATCGTGTGTCAAAATAATTGAAGGACATTTTTTGTCATTTGTGTGAAATAGAAGAAGTGTTTTAAGTGTAGAAAATGATACCTGTGTGTGATAGAAATAAGTTTATATCCTATGAGCAGGTAACAAAAAAGAAAAAAAAAACTAGCTGGACTTTTTCTCTTAGGATTATATTTTCTTTGGATGACAATGATAAAAGTTCTCTTTACTATGTAAATTTGCCAGTCTAAGAATAGAGTGTATTATCTTACTGAGTTTCATCTTGCACCCTCAGCATCTATTATTCCTATTAACTCCAAGTTCAACCTCCACCTTGCCCTTTTCTTCTTCTAATTGGCAATGGGCAAATCATTTCTGGTCAAGATCAGGAGCTCATCTGTGGCTCTAACCTTGAACATCAATCCAACTCAAGAGCGAATCCCATTAACATCAGACTAATAAATGCAAAGATCCAGTGAAGAACAATAATGAACTTTGGCTCACACATCAGTCTTTGGCACCTCAGAAACTAAGTGTAATGAACAGTAGGTCACAACCTATAGCTTTCATAAAATGTCCCAGTTGAGATAGCATATTACACATTTAAAACAGTAATGGTGCCAGGTCATTCTGTCAGACATTTGTCAAGTAAGGATGTGCTCCTACACATCTAGCTCTTCTAGTAAACCAATATTCAGACACATAATGGCTGCTTGTATCTTCAATTATCTCCATCCTATCACATTCAGAGCTGCTTCCAGAGAGTCCAATACTACAGCCTTAGGCTATGGGATGACGATAGCATACCCTACAAACACATGAGAGCAACCTCAAACCTTCTAAATTGTGCCAGTTCTGGGCTTCTTTTGCATAATCATTTATCTGAAAGGACAAGAAATAATTTGCAATTTCAGAGTGTGATGCAAAAGACACAGATATTGCTCAACTTCAAACTACTGAGGGGAAGAAAAATAAGATTTTGGTTAATGTTCTATGGTTCAAATATAGTAAAGTCATCCTGGATTCCTGTCCTGACCTATTCTTTCCTTACCATTTAATTACTTCTTTTCACCTACTTTTCTCTTTTTTTTTTTTTTTCGAGACGGAGTTCCACTCTTGTTGTCCAGGCTGGAGTGCAACGATGCGGTCTTGGCACACTGCAACCTCCGCCTCCCAGGTTCAAGGGATTCTCCTGCCTCAGCCTCCCGAGTAGCTGGGATTACAGGCATGAGCCAACATGCCCAGCTAATTTTTGTATTTTTGTAGAGACCAGGTTTCACCATGTTGGCCAGGCTGGTCTTGAACTCCTGACCTCTCGGCCCCCAAAAGTGCTGGGATTACAGGCTTGAGCCACCGTGCCCAGCCATTTTTCTCTTTCACTTATTTATTTTAGCATCCTTCTCTCTTCTTATAGCTCATCTTTTATATGTGCTTATTTGAAAATGCACAATATAGTTGTTTTTGATAGACTTAAAATGATTTCTGCGGCATGCTATGAATATGTAATACCCCCGCAATCCACCCCACACATATTTTGAGAATTTTTATCCTTCTTTGTAAAATTAGCCAGAAGTCCCTCTGTTAACACATGTTCGCTTCCTCATTCTTTGGTGAATTTTGTTTTTCCCATAAGACGTATTTTAACACGGGAATGAATAAATGTATAGGGAACATGAGACAACCTGTTTAACATCCTTTTTATATGCCATTGGGGATGATAAAGAGCAATGGTCATTTACTTAACATCTTGGTAATTAGCCGCTTGGAGGGTGCAAGGCCTGTAACCAGTCTTTTTGATGCATCCGCCATTTCTGCAAGTGGCTGGAGTGGAGGTACAAATGAAGCTGAATAGAGGAGAGACTCTGCAACTGTATTCACTGATAGAGTAATTGCCTGCTTTGTGAATAGGATGCATTCTGGAAGTATATCAAATATATAGAGCAAATACTCAAATAGAATAGAACAAGAAATGGTTACAGTAAAACAAACTTTTCGTGATATTTACCACTTTTTATATTTTACTCAAAGTGTATATACGTTTTTTTTATATGCAAGATAAACTGATAATTTCAACACAATCTGCACTACTTTGAAAAATGTACACCAGGGCCTTTCATGACTTGTATACAGTTCTGGCCATTCTCTTTATCTCAAACCGAAGAAAGATATGATGCAGGCAGTAGTTTTTTCTTAGTGCCTCATAGTATCTAATAGCAGAAAGTGAGCCGCATAGCGGAGCACATTAGTTTTTATGTATCTACAGGACAGAAGGGCCACTTAGCTGATGGCTCCAGGTTTCCTTTGATATAATCTAATGTTCCTATGACCTCAAAGACTGAACACATTTCCCTAAGTGCTTCACTTAGCACCCAGGAGCAACTTGGAGTCTTCGCAGAATAAAATCCATTATTTTAATGTAGATTAATACATGTGTACTTATATCTATGCAGGTCTATAATAGTTTATTCCTATGTAAGCTTTATTAAAAGCATTGGTATGTTTTACATAAAAAGTTAATGTGAATATTAGAAAAAAAGGACAATATTAAAGCAGTTTGTAGAATTTGTTCCCCCCCCAAAATGAATGAAATACACAATAGATTTTAAAAAAAGAAACAATGAAAGTGAAATGAGGAAAAGGTCTAATTTTCCCCTTAAATTTCACAATGTGTCAGCCAGACAGAGCATAATTTTGGAATAAACAAAAAGCCAGGGAGTCAATACAGGGTTTCTCCTTCTATCAGATATCTTGCTTTGGCAGAGAGTAAGAAGAACATCTCAAAAACCTCATTGGTGTTCTTAAACTGAGGGTGGAGACAGGGCGTGCAGGCTACTTGAGGAAAGACTGGGATGTGTACATGGAACTCACTTGCTCAATATGAATCCATGGCAACCTCAGGTCTAGGCCAGAAGTCCTGTGGAGTATTTCCTTGCAGAGGTTGGTGGTAGAAATGCAGTCTAAGATGAGCCATTGACTCAGCTGGAACTAACTAAAACCAGCAGAGATGGCTAAGCCACTAAAGAAACAAAACTCAACAAAAAATATGGTTGTCCAAATGCCCATCAATTGATAGACTGGATAAAGAAAATGTGACACATATATACCATGGAATACTATGCAGCCATAAAAAAGAAAGAATTCATGTCTTTTGCAGGGACATGAATGAAGCTGGAAACCATCATTCTCAACAAACTAACACAGGAACAGAAAACCAAACAGCACATGTTCTCACTCATAAGTGGGAGCTGAACAATGAGAACAAATGGACACAGGGAGGGGAACATCACACACCAAGGCCTGTCGGGGGCTGGGGGGCAAGGGGAGGGAGAGCATTAGGACAAATACCTAATGCATGTGGGGCTTAAAACCTAGATGACAGGTTGATAGGTACAGCAAACCACCATGGTACATGTATACCTATGTGACACAATTGCACGTTTAGCACATGTATCCCAGAATTTAAAGTTAAAAAAAAAATGGTTGTATCAAACCCCAAATCTTGAAAATATAAAAACTTAAAAAAAAGTAACCCACTCCCCTTGAAGCAAGGACAGGCGCACCTTACACGGGAACAGACATCCTCTGAAATGCAATTATTTTGCCTTTTGTTTGTTTGTTTGCTTTGTTTTTTCTACTATTTCTTTTTAATTGAAAGAGTAATAATGCAGTAATAGAATTATAACTGGTGGCATCACAGGGCTGCATATTAGTAACCTTAGCTGAAGAGCTGTATAAATATCTCATGCACATGTTCTGAAAGAAGTGGAGCTTTATGGCCCAGAGTGATAAGGAGGAAAAAATAAAAAATGCCTCCATACATTCAAATTTTATTAAAAGTTGAATTAAAACATAAACATGTGACAGATTTTAAAATTTAATTATTTGCAAAAGCGTTTTTTGAAATTTACCTCCTAATGTTTTGCCTATAAATTCATGTTTTTATAAATGAACCTTTTTTATTGCTAGAAGGTGGCAGGTTCCACATCATTCTTATTCCTATATCATTATTTTTATAAGATCTAAGAACTGAGAAATCTTGTTCTCAGAAATAAGTGGATAGGATTGGAAGGGCTTTGTTATAACAATGACATTTGATTCTTTGAACTCCTTTGAAGAATGACAACAAAAATTGCAGGTGTCCATTGACAATTCAACTAGGTATTTCTTCAAATTTTTAAAAGTAATTAAAAATCTAAAACAAAACAAAACAAAACAAAAAACACAAATGATTAGCAAGATTTTGTTACCCAGTCATCAAGGTGACTTACTTTTGAGAAGTGGAGATGAATGTTTTGAATTGCCCCTTCGTTTTGCATCCTGGAAATTTCAACACCTGGGGACAAAGCACCAAGGTAAAGTTAAAAAAAGTGGAGATATATTTTTCTCTTTTAAAAAAAGAAACATTGTGGGAGAAGAATTCTTTTGAAAAAGAAGAAATGAAAGAGGGACAGCAAGAATGATGAAAGAAGTATTCGAATGTGACACCTGGAAACCTGTTCTTTAAAAGTCTTTGCCTGGCCGCAGTACGCCTCACAAAGTCTTTGTGTAATCTCCAGGGTTAGCAGGCCTCAGATCAAAATTAGAAGCCTAAATGGCAAACTAACCAAATTGGTTTTTTTTTTATAAAGTAAAATCTCTCAATTCACTTTTAAAATAAACTTAATCTGGTTTGAAGTGTCCCTATGACAACCATCTCAATACTGAATTTTAATTATATGATAGGTATGTAGCTAATTACATCAAATAATAGTTAACAGTTAAATCGATCTCTGGCTGTATTTTTATTTTTATTTTTTTGAGAGCTTCTCTCTCTGTCATCCAGGCTGGAGTGCAGTGACATGATCTCGGCTCACTGCAACCTCTGACTTCTGGGTTCAGGCAATTCTCATGCCCCAGCCACCCAAGTAGCTGGGACTACAGGCAGGCACTACCATGCCTGGCTAATTTTTTGTAATTTTTTTGTATTTTTAGTAGAGACAGGATTTTACCATGTTGTCTAGGTTGGTCTTGAACTCCTGGCCTCAAGTGATCCATCTGCCTCAGCCTCCCAAAATGCTGTGATTATAGGCGTGAGCCACTGCGCCTGGCCTCTGGCTGGTATTTTATAAACTTAATAATGAAGAACTGATTCTCTACCGAAAAAAAAATGTATATATACAAAAAAAGAAAATGGTGAGGTATGGTGGTGCATGCCTGTAGTTCCAGCTACTCAGAAGGCTGAGGTTGGAGGATTGCTTGAGCCCAGGAGTTCAAGGCTGCAATGAGCCGTGATCATGCCACTGTACATCAGCCTGGGCAACAGAGCAGGACCCTGTCTCATAAAGAAAAATAACAACAACTACCACAAAATGAAGAATTGGCGAATGTAGTAACTAGATCCAAGTTCATGGTTCTTACAGTTACCACTTCACAAGAAAAAGCCTGTAAGATTTAAAGCTGAGGATCACATGGCTAGTAACACTGAAAGAAGCACTATAGAACAAGGGAGATGAAGTCATTCTGAACATTCAGATTACTTATTTTTAACAAACAACTTAATATCTCTATCTTTTATATACTTTTCAGATTATAAGTGTAATTATGCTTTAGAGATAAAGACAACCATGCAAAATCGTCAAAAACACTTCCTTGTAAAATGAGCCCTTCCTTCAGCTGACAGGGTTGACAGGAGATCCCAGGTGGGGAAAACACACCAAAAAGATTCTTATACTTAGGCTTTGCTCCACTAGGGACATTCACAAACAATCTCCAGGACATATTGGTTTCCTTGGGACTAAGGTATTTGTACAATGTCCATTTATAGGGGGTTAAAGTGCCTGTGATAGTGGTTGAAAGTTTTGACCCACTTTTACAGATTAATCAGCATTGTGGTGGTTACAGAATTTCCAGATAAGGCATGCTTGCTCTTCTCTAGACAAACTCATCCACGGTATCTTAGTAACACTGATTCTGAGATACCTTTAGTATTTTAGGTAGATCCACACAGTGTGATTGCTAATGTTATTTGTACGGATTTAGGAGCCACCGAGTGGCTATCATTGAACTGTCAAATAAATCTCAATACCTAGTTAAAATTCTTTTACAAGTAACTTTTCATAAAGAGGAATAAATGTTTACAGTAAGGGAGTATTTTGTTTACTTGGGCAGCTTTCTATGAAGAGGAGCATTTCTTGCAAAGCAATATGCCTGAGAATTAACTTTAGATTTCATTTCTATTTCACTGGAGTAGATATGTTTAAATTAACTTATAATTTCTTAAGGAGTCAGATAAAACATTAATTTTCTTTTTAATTTCTATACTTGCAGCTAAGAGTCGAAAATGAACCTAAGAGCCCTTCATTCCAAAATCATGCACAATTTCTAGTGCTTGTCTACTATCTACATAAATGTTCTCTCTCTCATATACTCTTCACTTTTTGCCTCAGGCTGGATTGTGAGTTCCAGTTACAAAAATTGATTCAGCAACCCAGGCAGATGGAGTCTTCAGAGATAAGAGAATATCCAAAACAAGGTTAATTTTCTCTATTCTAGGTGAAAACTGTCAACAGATAATGTAAGATCAGAGTTAATTAAAGTTATGCCATTTAAGTCAGTTTTGGACAAGATGAGAGTTTGAATCACTGTCAGCTAAATATGTGGTTGTCCTTCATCCTGGAGGGGAAAAAGAAGGCAGTTTAAGATTTGTGCATTTTTGCTAATGTTATGAGATGTGAATAGCAAAGTAATCTCATCAATAGTAATAGTGTGGGTTGAAATATACTGTGTTACCTTATAGAAATGTTTTCTATCATACACGGGACCAGTTGGATACTGTAAAACTGACAGGGAAAAGAAAGTAAGAGGATTCTACTAATTAAACAGTATCTACAAGATTTCACAACAAAGGGGACACTGTTTGGTAACATTGTCTGGAAGAGTATTTATTTAAGTAGTAAGTAAAGGTTTGGCATAATTAAGTTCATTTAGTGTAAGGGTTGCTACAACGTTTCCTCAATAGTTATAAAAATAAGCTAAGACTGCTCAAATGAAAAGAAATACAGGTTATTCAGTCAGAGCTTGCTGTAGCCAGGGAGTTGGCCACCATCACTTGCAATATGGCAACGAATCAAAGGCAGGCAGGCAGTGAGAAAGCTTTATCATGGGAAAACCAGAAGGCTGCAGGAATGCCCTGGTTGGAAATTATTGTCATGGGGAATCTAAAGGTTGGATAACTAGAAGCAAAACATCCTATTTGATGGGTGAAGCTGCATAATTAGCATTCTCTGGTTGGTTCTAAATTGGAAGCTGGAGGGAAACACTTAGGGAAGCTGGAAGTTACCCACCAATTCCTAAGCATTTGGACCAATCGCTGCAGACTGGTTGCTGCAGAGGTCAGAGTTGATTTTCTGTGTGTGGAACCACCATTGTCTGTTAGTGTATTCAGTCTCTCATAGTATAAAGGCCGAAACTGCTTCAGGATCCAGATAAGAAGCTCTAGAAATTAGAATTTATTAGGGTCATGTAGTCCTTAGTCTGCCTCATGGACATAGTGATTGGTCTAAAGAAGCATTCTTCATTTCTGCTGCCCTAATCATATTATTCCAGCTTCCACAGACTGATTCAATAGGTCCCGAAGCTAAATTAAGAACCAGGATTCTTCAATAATACATTTGAACTGGAAACAAAGAAAGAGTAAGACTCCACTGGAAAATGGGAGACTGTGAAACTAGGAATTGACAGTGACTATCTCTACAGCTGTGACAGACGTCAACCTGAGAGATAAAGCTGAGACCCAGAAGGCAAAGAATGTTACATACACAGAAAGAACATGTAAAATTGGAGCATCTATGTTTCTGCAACACATGAAGTATAACAATACCCCACCTTTCTTGAGATATTGCCTATGAGCCAGTTAATTACCCTCGTTTGTGAAACTGTTTGTCTCCTGCAGCCATTGAATCCTGATTAATACTCATTAAATCTCTATGATGTCATAGTATATATCAGGCACTATGGCTCATATTATTGTTTTCCCCTGATATTTGGTTATTTTCTTTTCAAGGCGCATGGAGACAGACCTCTACCTGCAATGCCCCCCTTGCACTTGGACAGAACCATGTAACTATTTATAAGCTATGACACATGAGCAGACATGACATGACGGGATTGATGGAGCAATGACCTCATCTTTTCTCCTGCCAAATATTATGAAAGAGGACTCAAGTCACTCACCTAAGGGACACTGGCTGAAAGTCAGTAATGAAGCTGAAAGGTCGCTAAATGCTGGCAAGTGAGATGGATTATAGTGTCTAGACTTTTTCCTGAGGTCATTCTATATCCAGCAGATATCTTTCAGTATATAGTCTATTCAAAACAATGTGCTAGTGACTATTGAGTGTGGTTACATTTTTTTTTTTTTTTTTTTTTTTGAGATGGAGTCTCACTCTGTCCCCTAGGCTGGAGTGCAGTGGCACAATCTTGGCTCACTGCAACCTCTGCCTCCTGGGTTCAAGCAATTCTCCTGAGTCAGCCTCCTGAGTAGCTGAGACTACAGGCACCCACCATCACGGCCGACTAATTTTTGTATTTTTAGTAGAGATGGGGTTTCACCATATTGGCCAGGCTGGTCTTAAACTCCTGACCTTGTAATCTGCCCACCTTGGCTTCCCAAAGTGCTGGGATTACAGGAGTGAGCCACCAAGCCCAGCCAGTTACATTCTTTAAACAAGGAGTGGACATACCCTGAAACAAGAGATTAGTCAAAGAGATTTTGCTATTCATGGGACCTAAAAGGTGGCTGTACTTCCCTTTACTGCTTTTCCATACACAGCAATGCATGCTGTATGGGTTCTTATAGGTCAGAGCGTGAAAGAGAACCAGGACCTATAAAAGAATACAAGTCTCTAAAATCAGAAAGTTTATTATTTAAAAAAATAGTTATGTGCCAGTCTGCTTATAATTTTATTTTTATGACTGAGAGTGCCTTTCATAAGCACATTCTGGCAAACTATAAAACAAATAAATTGAAATTGAATAAAACCTTTAGACATTAGAAGTGTAGCACCAGATTTAGTACATAACTGCAAAGCTTAAACATGCAATTTTACATCTGCAAGCACATTAAATTGAAAGAAACTTTAACTTAATTTAGATACATTAATTGATACAAACTTTTCTGGTATATAGCACTTCTTGGCGCATTGAGTATTCTTAATCTTTAAGGCACATGAATATAATACCTTAGGAAAGATCTGTTCTCCACACATTTCCTCTATAAAGTGCCAAAAAAAAATAACGAAGAGCCAGTTTGTCTTCCGCATCAGTGTGATTTAGCATACATAAATAAGTATCTTTTCACACAAAATAAAAGGTTCAGAACCCAAAGTGTCTGATTTTTATAGTGCTTTTTCTTTCCTTTTAAAAAGATAGCAAGATGAGGGTAAGAGGTAATTTAAGAGAAGTAATCATCTTCTAACAGCCAGCTTGCAGAAACTAAAACAAATATCAATGATGTAAAAATGTTGTTTTGACACTTTGGTAAATGAAAGTGTGAGATGAGTAAGAATATATTATAGGTGCTTGTATATCAAAGGCCTGTGAAAATGGCTGATTATAAAGGAGAAAGTTAATGATCTCTAATTGTGTTGTAATGTAAATGCAGTATCACCGTAATGAAGAGAACAGATTTGCATGTTAACAAAAGAAATATTAGAGGAGTGAGTGTAGGATGTTTGGGATAATTAATTCCATCCTCCACTCCTACATACATATGCATATACAAACTCAATTCAATTTTAAAGAGAACCCGAAGAACCAAAAATAGACTGAACACACTTGATGTTGTATGGGAGCTTAAATTACTATTTTTGTTGTTCTCTGTGACTATCTCATTTAGTTTCTATTGTGTTTGCAATTTCTTCCAAGGTGATTTTTAATGGATTGAGTAATGCATAAAAATTTGCAGAAGTATGCAGAAAGTTTGTATGCAGGGCCATGTAGAGCTTTTATCCTACAGTAAATCCTAGTAGTTTGCTGGTGCTGTGTGATTTTTTTTGTTTGTTTAGGGTTTGTGTGTGTGTGTGTGTGTGTGTGTGTGTGTGTGTGTGTGTGAAGCTTATTTATTCCATTTCAAGAAAAAGAAAAATAGACAAATTAGAATACCAAAAATAATTTGCAGCCAGTATCAACCAATTTATATTCAAGCTGAAAAATTAAAATAGCTTTCAGAGAATGGTAGAAGCATATTATTTAAAAAACAAACTATGAAGAAATGGACAGAAGCATGTAGACATAGATAACAGAAATTTAAAGTAAAAAGTAGAAAATGAAATTATTCCCTTTTATACCTGAAAGCAAATGATTTCCATGATTCTAAGCCTCTGTAAAAAGCAGCAACAATTTCATCATTTTCCTATTCACTCTTCATATTATCTAAATCAGGATTCTGCAAAATTATTTTCCTTGAATTACTTTTAAAACATACCAGAAATGAATTCACTACTCTAATTATCACAGCAATTCAGGGAATTATTAAAAATCAAATCAAATCAAATGAAACTTCGTAAGTTGTTTACAAAAAAACTTCAGGTTCATTTGCTTTTAATGCAAGACATGGCAATGTATCTCGGCCTGTGGATGTCCTCTCCATGTTAATAGTAAGTGCAAGTTTATGAAAAGACTAGACACCGACACCACCTGGGGAAATCAAAGCTTACTTACCTAAAATGCACAGGAGCCAAGAAGCATGTTTAAGTTCATGGGAGGGTAATGAATGCTGTTCTCTAGAACATGTTTCAAGGAGCTGGACACGTTTCCTTACCAGGGGAGACTCACACTGCAGATCATAATTTCTGAGCAAGTGAGAAGTGAGAGTTCCATTGCACCTGTGGGAAGCTCTATCCTCCAAAGTGTAGCTTTACACACCCAGCTTGAGTCATTCTTCTTTCTGGTGTATCTGGACATACTCCAGGGACTAGCTTATCTGTGCCTGGTGCACTTCATTTATCACGATTAAACAATATACAATTTGACTGAAGGGCACAGTATAGGTCAGTGCATTTATGCATAACAGCAGGACTTATTAATCATCCTCAGCTCCTGCAGGCTAAGAAATCCTGCTTAAAATTTATTTGCATGCTTAGAACTAGAACAGAGCTTCGAAACTAGAATAAGGGTCACTTACTCTGATGTCTCTGGAAGCTCATGAGGTCAGCCCTGAACGCTAAGTTGCACTTCTTGAAACAGTTTTAATGCCCACGGCTATCTCCCAATTCATTCTGAGTTTGAGAAGGGAAAAAAATGAAATGATATTTAGTAGACTCCTATAACAGTTTGGGTAACACCAGCTGTTTTAACAAACAATCCTCAAAGTTAAAGTGGCTGAAAGTTTAAAATGTGTTTCTCATTAATAACATTCAAATAAAGGCATTTCTTGTCTGGGTGGCTTTTACCAGGGAGTAATTCAGGAAACTGGCCTCCAGTATTGTAGCTCCAACTTCCTAGAGGGCTTCAGAGTTCTCCTTTTTCAAATGACACATGTTGAAAGAACTGGAAGAAACATTTATATGTACCACCCTCTAAAAGTGGTACACATTAACCGGGACACAGTTGCATGGAAATATAGCCAAGCTATGTATCCAGAAAGAAGAAAAAACAAGTGTGGTAAAGAGCTATCAGTCTATGCCTCAGCTTTTCAAAATCCAGTCTTACGGCGCACAGATCTAGAGAGAATATGTAGACCTTATATTATGTAAAGGCATTCACAGAACTATTTTTGTTGTTGTTAACATACTTGAGCTTCCCTACGGCAATGTTCTTGTAGGTTTCCCAGACTAATAGCCTTCAAAATGGAGGTGAATATATACATATAAGAAAAAAATAAGTAACTTAAGTCTTCTAATAAGATATGTTTTATAAAAATATGAAGAAGATATAGTAACAGCTCCTTATAGCAGTGTAAGACCTTTCTTTCATCCATCTCCTCACCTATGGTTACTATCCTCACAATCCCATTTCCCTCTATGTACATTTTACTTTATAACATATGTTCTCATACACAAAAAATACAATAAAAAATTTTCCATTATCCAACAGAATTTATAAAGCCTACAAAATTTCTAAATATATCATTTTATATGTAATGAATATGCTTGTTATTTCCCATTAAAAAAAAATGCAGCGGCCGGGTGTGGTGGCTTATGCCTGTAATCTCAACACTTTGGGAGGCCGAAGTGGGTGGATTGCTTGAGCTCAGGAGTTTGGGACCCACCTGGCCAATGTGGCAAAAATCTGTCTCTACTAAAAACCCAAAAATTAGCCAGGAGTGGTGGTGGGCACCTGTAGTCCCAGCTACTCATGAGGCTGAGGTGGGAGGATTGCTTGAGCTCAGAAAGCGGAGTTTGCAGTGAGCCATGGTTTTATCACTGCAGTCCAGCTTGGCGACCACTTGTTCTTTTTTGCTTGTTTCTTTGTCTTTTGCTTTACTTTGCATCATAGAGATACGGGTGAAAATTTCTTTAACCCTTTAAGTGTTTCTACTTTGTCTCATATGCTATACCTCATTTGTTACTTGGAGTATACTCTTGGCCATGCTATTAGAAATGGATGATGTAAAAATGGCGCCCCCTGAAGTCAAGCAATGTGAAACATTTGTAAATTTCTACAACAAATGCCCTAAATTGTAGTCGCTTAATTAAAATAATTATTTTCTATTTACTGTAATAGTCAACAGGTAAGAAATGCAGTCTTGCATGGATGTCCCACTAAAAAATATATGCCATCTTTTAGTCCGTTGATACTTAGCATATTGCCCTCATCTTCATGGACAAAAATTGGCAATTTTTCTGTAAAATCTCTCTTTCATATTACTGATGACAAAATTCTGCACTTTATCTGAGGAAGAAAATGACAAGACTGACATGTGGGACTCACTTCTCACTGTATAATACCATCCTTGGCTCCTGCCCCAGGATAATTTTGATATTTTTAATTATCAAACCAAAACCAATAAGTTATATAAAATATAGGCAAAGTTACATTCACTGGGAGAATTTTAGCACTCTCAAAATAACATATCAGTTCCTATTATCCAGTAAATTCCTACCACGTCCCATGCTCCCGGAAGTGTGTCCGGATTCATGTTTTTCTGATAGGTGAATGCAAAGTCACTAGCCATTGCCATTTGCCAGGGATTCAGAGAGACAGAAGTGTGGAAATTAACATTTAGATGTATGAGAAATATATGCAAGAAACTGAGACTGAGCAGGCAATTTGTAGATTGTATACAGTGTAGCCTAAACATGTTTGCTTCAGTGAATTTGTAATTTCTTGCATGGGGTAAGTCTAAAATTATTTATTGTTTAATTTTTTTCATTAGAAATAAACCCTCTTGGAAGTAATTAAAATGCATATTTCACAAAAAATTAGTGCGATGATGATGACAATCATGTAACTTGCAAAACTTGAGTGTTGTTTTATCACAAACCTTATGAAAACAGATGCATCCTTGCCTTAAAAAGGAGAAGGAAAAAGGAAATGCTCTGGGCACAGCATGAAGCCCAGAAAAAGAATATTTCCAACAGCCCCATGGACATATGGAGAGGATAGAACTTAACAGTGCTCATCATCTCTGGTCATCAGAGAAATGCAAATCAAAACTACAATGAGATAGCATCTCACACCAGTTAGAATGGCGATCATTAAAAAGTCAGGAAACAACAGGTGCTGGAGAGGATGTGGAGAAAGAGGAACACTTTTACACTGTTGGTGGGAGTGTAAACTAGTTCAACCATTGTGGAAGACAGTGTGACGATTCCTCAAGGATCTAGAACTAGAAATACCATTTGACCCAGCCATCCCATTACTGGGTATATACCCAAAGGATTATAAATCATGCTACTATAAAGACACATGCACATATATGTTTATTGAGGCACTATTCACAATAGCAAAGACTTGGAACCAACCCAAATGTCCATCAACGATAGCCTGGATTAAGAAAATCTGGCACATATATACCACGGAATACTATGCAGCCATAAAAAAGGATGAGCTCATGTCCTTTGTAGTGACTTGGATGAAGCTGGAAACCAGCATTCTCAGCAAAATATCACAAGGACAGAAAACCAAACACCGCATGTTCTCACTCACAGGTGGGAATTGAACAATGAGAACACTTGGACACAGGGCGGGGAACATCACACACAGGGGCCTGTCGTAGGGTGGAGGGATGGGGGAGGGATAGCATTAGAGGAAATACCTAATGTAAATGATGAGTTAATGGGTGCAGCAAACCAACACGGCACATATATACATATGTAACAAACCTGCACGTTATGCACATGTACTCTAGAACTTGAAGTGTAAAAACAATAATAATAAAAAACTTCCAGCCCAAACAAAAATAGTATTAGCTACATTCAGAAGACCCCACAGAAAGGGTATAGTTTCCCACAGACACCCTACTAGAAAGCAGCTTCGTGGACAACATTCACCTCACCGTTTCCCAAAGATCATCATCATCACATCCTCTGCCTTAGAACCTATAACAGCGTCATTCATGGGGATGCCTCTCGCCCCTTAAAAAGTACTGAGAAAATTATGAGACAGAGAAGAAAGGGGGAGGGGATACAATTAAACTTTGTTTACAGAAGCCTGGGCTCCTGACTTTGATTTTGCTACTAAAGTAGCCGTGGGGAAATATTTCTTGAAACAATAAAAATGATTGACTTAGGTTTCAAAGTTTTTAACTCACAATAAAGAATTTTTTCTCCTTTCTCTTGCACTGTTTTTCATAATGATGGTATAAAACATATTAAGGTGTTATCACAAACAATTACTTCATGAGATTATATTTGAGTTTGGGGATTTCAAAGTCATTTTATTAAAATTAGCTGTATTGTTACACATTTTGTCTGGAAAGTCTAAGTAATGTCATTAAAAGCCCAGTTTAATTGCTTTGAAAAAGCTTATGCTTGACATGATATTCAGTCTCTTAGATTTCACAATTCATTCTCCATGTATTACTACTATGACTGACTTGTTTGTCTCTTTTTGAGTTCCTTCTAGAATTCAAAAGCATTAAGATTTAAGTGTGGCTGACTGCCACGGTTACTACTTGAGACCGTCATTACTAGACTGAATGAAGAGACGAACATAGAAATGGTAACAAAAAACAAAAGAAACTGTTTTAAGGAAAGGCTAGCATGGGGAAGAAGAGAGCTCCCTGCTTCTAGTGGTCCTCATTCCATCTTTGCATTCAGATTCAACTGGTTCATGGTTCATACCGGGGGAACAAGGTCCATGGTTGGGATCCATGGGTCCCTCCAGTCTCCTGTTCAACGGTCGTACACACCTTGGGAGCACCCACTCGGTTTGTTCATCTTCTGCAAAGACGTAAGTATACCCTCGTCCCCACGTTAGTAAATCTACCAAACAGAATCAAAAGTGTTTTCTTTTTTATTTATTTTTTATTTTTTTTGCTGTAGCCGGGAGGCACGCCATTGCTGAAACATTTGTAACTCAGCTTCTGCCTCTTTGGTTAATTGCCGTGGGGTAAAACTTTCCACTGAGAACAAGAAGCAGGCTCTTTCTGATTAACACACGGCACAGAGAAAGCAAATCGAGGCTTATCCTTCTCGTAAAACAGTATAGCAAAAAGCAGTCCTTAAACCTTCAATTTGCACTGTACAGGTGGGTCCACTAGATGCTATGGGTGGTGATAGATAAATCTCTCTCCTAGTTGCACTTCCAAATCCCTGACCACCTCGCTTCTTCTTATGTGGAGAAGGGTACAATTTACAGGGAAGAAGCGAAAATTGAGCAACATATTCTCCCAGTTCAAAAACCCAAAGATCTTGTGACATTACCACTACCTGAATTTCTCCTTCACAATCAAAATCAACAACTCCTGGGCCTGTAAGTTAAGACAGCTTTTACCAAAATCAATCCCATGTATCTTGTTGGCAAAGATCCCCAAATACCAATGTGAATCTTAGTGAGTTTGTTTCTTTCATTTAATGTAATTGGTTCTCTGGGAGATCTAATCCTGCGTTTCCAGGTGTTCCTGGGGAGAGGGAATCCATGTGCCTCTGGAAACCCACCCCTGAAACGGAGTTGTGGCCTGGACAGGGAACGCCCTCATAGTTTGAGGTGCCCGGGTCCAGGCCCCCTTCTTGCTTCCCAACAGGGGGGTGCCGTTTTGATGAAATTTTGAGTGGTGTTGATTAGCCCAATGATTTCCTTTATTGCATCAAGGGCAAAGTCCGGCATTTTTTTTCTGTTAAGAGGGGGACTATGTTACAAGATCTCTTGTTCACAGAGGTCTGACGGCATTCTCTTTTGAAACGTCCAAGTTTTCTACACTTATGACACTTTCCCACTTTAGGGCTTGACCCTTGGCTTCTTTTAGATCTGTCAGCCACCAAATTTGCTATTGCCTGAGTCAATACTGCAGAGCAATGAAGCTCAGTTCCCACATCTTGACAAGCTCTGAGAAAGCCTCCCAAGTCCTCTGCACATCTCACAGGTGCCAGTGCACGTTTACAATCCATGAAAGCCAAAGCTAAAGTTAGCCTTTCTGTAGCCACCAAAGAAGACGATACAGGGCAATTTTCATTCTCCCTCTTCTGTTCACCATTTTCGATAGGCACTGTAGGTGGGGCAAAAAATTCTAAATAACAAAAAGATGGTACATACCAAAACTCCAAACAAACAAAAAAGAGAAAAGAAATAGCCAAATTCTTCCTCGTTTCCCTGTTTTAAAAACTTCCCATTCTTTGTACCTCTAGGGCACTGACCAGTACCTTTTTAGAGAACTAACCTTATGTCGCTGCCAACAGAGTTGTAATGGGCTTTCTCGTTCATCTAGTTGGTTTTAGTTTTTTTCTGTTCCAGCAGACCTTCCTCGCTCTAGTCCTATAGGACCCTATCTGTCCCTATCTGTCCCTGTCTGTTCCTCCAAATCTCTCCTAGTCTTTGCTAGTCTCTACTTTTGTACCTCTTTAGGACACAGACCAGTACCTCTTCAGGGCACTGACCTTATATTGCTAGTCTTTATCTATTCCTATCTGTCTCTGTCTGTCCCTATGGTACCTGTTAGTTCCTGCAAGTCCCCGTCTTTCCCTACCTATCTCTACTTTTCTCTACTTACTTATCTCTACTTACTTTTCTGTACTTACCTCCACTTATCTCTGTTTATCCCTGCAGGCCTCTTCAGGTCCCTCCAGGTCCTTTCAGGTCTCTGTATGTCCCTGATAGTCTCTGAAATGTCCCTGTTCAGGCACCATTTGTAGTTGACTGTCACTGCTACTACATGAGACCATCACAAGTATGTTGAATTGAGCCTGGAACTCCTAGATGATAAACATTTTTTTATACCAACCTTCAACTTTTTCATTAAAATTAGATTGGGTAGATACTATAAATAGTGTCCCAAGCACTAGTGGAAAGATTCTACCATGTCTTACACTGGTTACTATGAGTTTGGAGTCAGAGGTATAAGGCTTGAAGAAAAAAGCACAATGAAATACAATTTTATCCACCAATCTGACATTTTTAAGTTTTAGGAAAATTGTGTCTTAATTCAAGCTGCTATAACAACAACAAAAACAACATACACTGACTGGTTTAAACAATAGAAATTTACTTCTCGGAGTTCTGGAGGCTGAGAGTCCAAGATAAAGGTGCCAGTCAATGGTTACAGGTAAAACCTCCATTCCTTGTCATGTCCTCATAAAGAGACAGAGAGAGAGACCAGACAGAGAGAGAGAGAGAGAGAGAGAGAAAGAGAGAGAGAGACTCATGACCTAATTATTTCCCAAAGGCCCTGTTTCCAAATATCATCTCAGTGGAATTAGGGTTTTAACATACAAATTTTGGGGGCGACGCAAGTATTTTTAGTCCATACCAAGTTAGATGCAACTTTACCAAAATTATTGTGGGTAATTTGACAAGGTAAGAGAGGTCAGTGAAACGCAAATTATATGATAACTTCTTGGTGCTCAGGCAGTATACCTGCCAGGTTGTCTCCTGGCTAGAGGAATGAAACAAGTAGTATTCAACAAGACTTTGGTAGTGAGTAAAACATGGCATATAAGTTGTTTTTTGTGGGAATGACATAGTCTAAATATTATTTTGATGACATACCTGTGTATTGACCTCTCTTGCATCAAAATGACATAAACATGGAGAAATAATTCTGAAAGTCAGCAGGAACTTGCAACTCACTTCTGGGAGGGGACCACTTAGGGGAACTATGATATTAGACTGTGGCAATGTCGACCTCCACACAGGAGGAAAGAGTAGTCACATACCCTAAATCTTGCGTAACGTGGTGTCTTAAAATTTCAATAAATCTACTGAGTTAAATTAACAGCAAAGCAGAAAAATTTGCCAAAGCTATTTATAGCTCCATTAAAATGGAAGACAAGTTAAGAAAATGTGTGTTCTAAATAATCATGTCAGAAGTTAGTGTTTCCTTCAAATATAATCATAGGCCTAAGAATTTTTATCCAAGATTGATGAAATTTTATTTTACGCAACAATAAATGGAACACAAAGGCTGCACATCATTTTTTTGTCTTCTGTACATATCACTAAAAAAAAAAAAGCATCAAACTAAAACAATGAATATAATATTAAATAGGGATTTGTTAATTGCTAATATTTTTAATATAGAGAAAGAATAATGTTTAATGATTAATTACAAAATTGATGAACTAGAATAGTGAGAAATCAAGGAGAGCTGAAATTTATGGAACTTTATGATAAACTAATAAAGGACAATTTTATTCCTAGCATTTTAATTATTTGCTTTATCATTGCATTTTAAATGCAATTATCAAAAATAAAGGTTATAACTAAGAATTTCAAAAATTCTAATTATAGCAGAATTGGTAACAAAGAATTGAATACAGAGGGTGAATCTTATATTGCTTTATTATTATTAAAACTAAGGAAATATTTAGAATTTTGTGTACTAATTTAGCTACGAAGGAAAAGGAGGGCGTCATCATTTTAAAAATGTTTCCACATTGTCTACAGAAGCCTAGATTATTAAAAAAAAGAGTGGCCTCAGATAGATATCTGATTGGAATACACTACAAAATCTAGTAGTCAACTTGTTAAGATATCTGAAGATTCCATTTAAGACAGATTGTGAAAAAATATACTGGAAGAAATAGATTTTATTTAATATCCTTAAACATAAAACTTTGTTACCTTCTAAAACACTATATTTAGTTTTATTTCTATTTTATAATATTGTATATGATGTGCTTTCTTTTCCAGGTAAAACTAACAAAAGACAATAAAATGTTATTAACTTGAGTTATGGTTAAAGTAGAAGAGCTGTGGATATTACACTACATGAAAAAAAATTCTTCCACAGATATTATTTGTGTATGCATACATCGATAGAGATACACATAGATAGATACAGATACAGATAGATATCGATATAGATATAGACTTGGCTATAGAGACTGTGGGTTTTTTAATACAGCAAGAAAAGAGAAATATTTATTTACACTGGATCAACAAAGGAACTAGGCTATTAACTCAGATTGTAATAGTCTAAAATTTTTCCAAAAATTAGGAAAAATAAAATATTTATATGAATTTTACCTGGAAGTGTTTCAAAATAGTTTGCAAAGAGTGAGAATGAATTTCAACTTGTGAGTAAAGGGTAAAACTGAAATGAAAGTTAAAACAAATAGTTTCCCCCTTTCATTATTAGATCATGATTTATTGAAAACAATCTTGATTGTTAAATATTGATTAAAATTAATGAAGGTGCAGAGTTCCTAAGACCTTGTCATTTGAACGTTATGAATATCTTCACAATGAAAACATTATTCGTGTTATTTATGTGAGCTTATATGTACTTTTCCGCATAAATAATTTGTACTCTTAGTTAGAAACAAATGAACTATGGCTTTTGGTGTGGTTTTGTTTATTTATGAATAAACATTAAGAACTGTGCTTATGAAATTTTCAGGAAATATACTGAATGCTTTAATGTACTCTGTAACATTGCAACATATAATTTCCCCTCTTCCCTCACTTTTTGATGTAGCTATCATTGCTTTGAGTTTTTATTTACTGGTTATTTTAAAGAGCTTAATGGTCTCATTTACTTAAAAGTGGAATAATATTGGACTACTATTTTCTTTTTTTAACCTCTCTAGGTCATTCTACAGTCATTACCTTCCAGCCTATTTGTTTCTGCAGAATCTACGTATGTAATACCTATAAATTTTCTTTTCATATTTGTTCACTCATCCACATCATTAATAAAGTTATTAAGTGAAGACGAACCCAGCAGTAGCACTCCCTTACCACCTTGAAATATTGTGCTGATGTAGAGGTTGTATCTGATTTAATTCTTCAAGGATTATTAATGTATGTGGAACTAGCTTTTCAGCCATGGAAATCTTTAGTACGTATTTAAGAAAAAGTGATTTAATGCTCAGTAGGGAAATGTTGTCCAAAACAGTGCCTGAAAAAAGCAGGTATGTGTCCACATTGGGCACACTGCAGGTGGGGTATATTGTTGAGATAGGAAGGAAAAATAAAATGTGAGAAAAGGCAAGAGACAGAAAACAAAGTGCAGGTCGGGAAGAGACAACTTTAACTTCCACCATTTGTTAATCAATTCTGAAATATTTTCATTTTTACAGCCTAAAATTATGCATGTGTTGGCATTTTTTTAAATGGATGATATTACAGTTTTCATTCAAGCATTGGTATAGAGCCTAACCTTTTGTTATGGATGAGATGTTTAGATTGTTAATCTGGAAAATCTATTTTCCTGTTATTGAAGTCACATATATACATATATGTATATATACTTTTATATATGTGTCTATATATAGTAAAAATGTGTATATTTATTTTAAAAAGTATTTTGGTTCATGTTTTTGTTCTTAATGTTGTCCTACTAAAATTACTTAATCATAAATCTTTCTACTAACAGTAAGGCAGAAACAGAGTAACAAGGGATTTTTTTTTTCTATTAAACTGAAGACAGAGAAGTTTGGTATTTATTTTTACCTAATATAGCAAACTTCAAAAAACAATCTATTTCAATAAAAATATTTTCCCCAGCTACAGAAATAAACAAGGGATAATATATAATCTAAAAATGTAATGGAAGAAAAGGCACAGCATTAAGAGATTGCCTTATTTTCCTTTCTAGCACATCTTGCTCTTAAAATATCCATGAGTCTATAAAGGGTGCTATTTACAAGGATCAGTTTCCCTGTATTTCTGGGTTGAATGATCCTCTACTTTTACTATCCTTTGCTAAACATGACAAAATAAGAAAATAAAAGATAAATATGAGATGAAGACCTCAAATGACATCAATTTCATTGCCTCTAAAAAGTTGTGATGATGAATGTTACCACTACTCAACTGAGTTTATGAAAAGGCAAATATACTTTTAAAAATGTAGGGGTGCTTATACAAAGACTTATGTGTTTACGTTTACTTTTTTTATAAGCTGATTTAATCAAAAGATTTAGTTAGTAATTTATTGACTCAAATACTTTATGCCTTCTATTTCACATTTTTTACAGGTTTATAAGTCTAGATACCTATGTCAATTAGTGAATTTTCTACCAAGAGTTCATGTTTTGTTGCTTAAAGGCAGATAATTTTTTTATTTAAATAATATTAAAAAGAGGAAAATATTTCAAAATACCAAGATTGGGAGGTGTCTGGGAGATTTATATGTATTGCTTTTATTAACTATCTAGCACTGGATTTATAAACCAGCTTATTTTTTTAATTTAAAAGCTCTCTGCCTTGCAATTTAATTCACATGATCTGCATTAACCATGCCATATTCAAAATTTCATTGATAAATTCTATCCAGTAGTCAATATCGAATTGTAAACTGATGTAATGTGCTTTAAAATATGAAGATTTAATCTTTAAAATATGAATATTTGATTGAATAATTACTACCACTAAAATCATGTTTACTTATTAGAATTATCATATAGGAATTGTTTTATAATGTATATGTTAATTGAATGTGATTTCTTGATACTTAGGATATACGTTAAGTATACATAAACAAATTGGAAATAAAGTTCTGATATACTGTTCCATGAAAGTTTCAAATCTTTATATTAAAGATTACCATTTGAGTCAGAGGCAATGATAGGATTTTCTGTACTTTATCCACATGTTTATATATACACATATATATATGTTTTCATATAACCTTTCATAAGGATAGAAAAGAACTATGAATGTTTCTCCATCAGGCATCTTTCAAATACAACATAACAATAACTTCCTTAAGTATTTTATTTAGGCAAAAACTATAAAATGATGGAATGGAAAAA